>NC_000011.10:36575151-36726666 GCF_000001405.40 Homo sapiens
TGTAGTTCCAGAAAAGGCAGTCCGTTTTTCATTCACAATCATGAAAATTACTATTGCCCACAGCTCTCAGAATGTGAAAGTATTTGAAGAAGCCAAACCTAACTCTGAACTGTGTTGCAAGCCATTGTGCCTTATGCTGGCAGATGAGTCTGACCACGAGACGCTGACTGCCATCCTGAGTCCTCTCATTGCTGAGAGGGAGGCCATGAAGAGCAGTGAATTAATGCTTGAGCTGGGAGGCATTCTCCGGACTTTCAAGTTCATCTTCAGGGGCACCGGCTATGATGAAAAACTTGTGCGGGAAGTGGAAGGCCTCGAGGCTTCTGGCTCAGTCTACATTTGTACTCTTTGTGATGCCACCCGTCTGGAAGCCTCTCAAAATCTTGTCTTCCACTCTATAACCAGAAGCCATGCTGAGAACCTGGAACGTTATGAGGTCTGGCGTTCCAACCCTTACCATGAGTCTGTGGAAGAACTGCGGGATCGGGTGAAAGGGGTCTCAGCTAAACCTTTCATTGAGACAGTCCCTTCCATAGATGCACTCCACTGTGACATTGGCAATGCAGCTGAGTTCTACAAGATCTTCCAGCTAGAGATAGGGGAAGTGTATAAGAATCCCAATGCTTCCAAAGAGGAAAGGAAAAGGTGGCAGGCCACACTGGACAAGCATCTCCGGAAGAAGATGAACCTCAAACCAATCATGAGGATGAATGGCAACTTTGCCAGGAAGCTCATGACCAAAGAGACTGTGGATGCAGTTTGTGAGTTAATTCCTTCCGAGGAGAGGCACGAGGCTCTGAGGGAGCTGATGGATCTTTACCTGAAGATGAAACCAGTATGGCGATCATCATGCCCTGCTAAAGAGTGCCCAGAATCCCTCTGCCAGTACAGTTTCAATTCACAGCGTTTTGCTGAGCTCCTTTCTACGAAGTTCAAGTATAGGTATGAGGGAAAAATCACCAATTATTTTCACAAAACCCTGGCCCATGTTCCTGAAATTATTGAGAGGGATGGCTCCATTGGGGCATGGGCAAGTGAGGGAAATGAGTCTGGTAACAAACTGTTTAGGCGCTTCCGGAAAATGAATGCCAGGCAGTCCAAATGCTATGAGATGGAAGATGTCCTGAAACACCACTGGTTGTACACCTCCAAATACCTCCAGAAGTTTATGAATGCTCATAATGCATTAAAAACCTCTGGGTTTACCATGAACCCTCAGGCAAGCTTAGGGGACCCATTAGGCATAGAGGACTCTCTGGAAAGCCAAGATTCAATGGAATTTTAAGTAGGGCAACCACTTATGAGTTGGTTTTTGCAATTGAGTTTCCCTCTGGGTTGCATTGAGGGCTTCTCCTAGCACCCTTTACTGCTGTGTATGGGGCTTCACCATCCAAGAGGTGGTAGGTTGGAGTAAGATGCTACAGATGCTCTCAAGTCAGGAATAGAAACTGATGAGCTGATTGCTTGAGGCTTTTAGTGAGTTCCGAAAAGCAACAGGAAAAATCAGTTATCTGAAAGCTCAGTAACTCAGAACAGGAGTAACTGCAGGGGACCAGAGATGAGCAAAGATCTGTGTGTGTTGGGGAGCTGTCATGTAAATCAAAGCCAAGGTTGTCAAAGAACAGCCAGTGAGGCCAGGAAAGAAATTGGTCTTGTGGTTTTCATTTTTTTCCCCCTTGATTGATTATATTTTGTATTGAGATATGATAAGTGCCTTCTATTTCATTTTTGAATAATTCTTCATTTTTATAATTTTACATATCTTGGCTTGCTATATAAGATTCAAAAGAGCTTTTTAAATTTTTCTAATAATATCTTACATTTGTACAGCATGATGACCTTTACAAAGTGCTCTCAATGCATTTACCCATTCGTTATATAAATATGTTACATCAGGACAACTTTGAGAAAATCAGTCCTTTTTTATGTTTAAATTATGTATCTATTGTAACCTTCAGAGTTTAGGAGGTCATCTGCTGTCATGGATTTTTCAATAATGAATTTAGAATACACCTGTTAGCTACAGTTAGTTATTAAATCTTCTGATAATATATGTTTACTTAGCTATCAGAAGCCAAGTATGATTCTTTATTTTTACTTTTTCATTTCAAGAAATTTAGAGTTTCCAAATTTAGAGCTTCTGCATACAGTCTTAAAGCCACAGAGGCTTGTAAAAATATAGGTTAGCTTGATGTCTAAAAATATATTTCATGTCTTACTGAAACATTTTGCCAGACTTTCTCCAAATGAAACCTGAATCAATTTTTCTAAATCTAGGTTTCATAGAGTCCTCTCCTCTGCAATGTGTTATTCTTTCTATAATGATCAGTTTACTTTCAGTGGATTCAGAATTGTGTAGCAGGATAACCTTGTATTTTTCCATCCGCTAAGTTTAGATGGAGTCCAAACGCAGTACAGCAGAAGAGTTAACATTTACACAGTGCTTTTTACCACTGTGGAATGTTTTCACACTCATTTTTCCTTACAACAATTCTGAGGAGTAGGTGTTGTTATTATCTCCATTTGATGGGGGTTTAAATGATTTGCTCAAAGTCATTTAGGGGTAATAAATACTTGGCTTGGAAATTTAACACAGTCCTTTTGTCTCCAAAGCCCTTCTTCTTTCCACCACAAATTAATCACTATGTTTATAAGGTAGTATCAGAATTTTTTTAGGATTCACAACTAATCACTATAGCACATGACCTTGGGATTACATTTTTATGGGGCAGGGGTAAGCAAGTTTTTAAATCATTTGTGTGCTCTGGCTCTTTTGATAGAAGAAAGCAACACAAAAGCTCCAAAGGGCCCCCTAACCCTCTTGTGGCTCCAGTTATTTGGAAACTATGATCTGCATCCTTAGGAATCTGGGATTTGCCAGTTGCTGGCAATGTAGAGCAGGCATGGAATTTTATATGCTAGTGAGTCATAATGATATGTTAGTGTTAATTAGTTTTTTCTTCCTTTGATTTTATTGGCCATAATTGCTACTCTTCATACACAGTATATCAAAGAGCTTGATAATTTAGTTGTCAAAAGTGCATCGGCGACATTATCTTTAATTGTATGTATTTGGTGCTTCTTCAGGGATTGAACTCAGTATCTTTCATTAAAAAACACAGCAGTTTTCCTTGCTTTTTATATGCAGAATATCAAAGTCATTTCTAATTTAGTTGTCAAAAACATATACATATTTTAACATTAGTTTTTTTGAAAACTCTTGGTTTTGTTTTTTTGGAAATGAGTGGGCCACTAAGCCACACTTTCCCTTCATCCTGCTTAATCCTTCCAGCATGTCTCTGCACTAATAAACAGCTAAATTCACATAATCATCCTATTTACTGAAGCATGGTCATGCTGGTTTATAGATTTTTTACCCATTTCTACTCTTTTTCTCTATTGGTGGCACTGTAAATACTTTCCAGTATTAAATTATCCTTTTCTAACACTGTAGGAACTATTTTGAATGCATGTGACTAAGAGCATGATTTATAGCACAACCTTTCCAATAATCCCTTAATCAGATCACATTTTGATAAACCCTGGGAACATCTGGCTGCAGGAATTTCAATATGTAGAAACGCTGCCTATGGTTTTTTGCCCTTACTGTTGAGACTGCAATATCCTAGACCCTAGTTTTATACTAGAGTTTTATTTTTAGCAATGCCTATTGCAAGTGCAATTATATACTCCAGGGAAATTCACCACACTGAATCGAGCATTTGTGTGTGTATGTGTGAAGTATATACTGGGACTTCAGAAGTGCAATGTATTTTTCTCCTGTGAAACCTGAATCTACAAGTTTTCCTGCCAAGCCACTCAGGTGCATTGCAGGGACCAGTGATAATGGCTGATGAAAATTGATGATTGGTCAGTGAGGTCAAAAGGAGCCTTGGGATTAATAAACATGCACTGAGAAGCAAGAGGAGGAGAAAAAGATGTCTTTTTCTTCCAGGTGAACTGGAATTTAGTTTTGCCTCAGATTTTTTTCCCACAAGATACAGAAGAAGATAAAGATTTTTTTGGTTGAGAGTGTGGGTCTTGCATTACATCAAACAGAGTTCAAATTCCACACAGATAAGAGGCAGGATATATAAGCGCCAGTGGTAGTTGGGAGGAATAAACCATTATTTGGATGCAGGTGGTTTTTGATTGCAAATATGTGTGTGTCTTCAGTGATTGTATGACAGATGATGTATTCTTTTGATGTTAAAAGATTTTAAGTAAGAGTAGATACATTGTACCCATTTTACATTTTCTTATTTTAACTACAGTAATCTACATAAATATACCTCAGAAATCATTTTTGGTGATTATTTTTTGTTTTGTAGAATTGCACTTCAGTTTATTTTCTTACAAATAACCTTACATTTTGTTTAATGGCTTCCAAGAGCCTTTTTTTTTTTTGTATTTCAGAGAAAATTCAGGTACCAGGATGCAATGGATTTATTTGATTCAGGGGACCTGTGTTTCCATGTCAAATGTTTTCAAATAAAATGAAATATGAGTTTCAATACTTTTTATATTTTAATATTTCCATTCATTAATATTATGGTTATTGTCAGCAATTTTATGTTTGAATATTTGAAATAAAAGTTTAAGATTTGAAAATGGTATGTATTATAATTTCTATTCAAATATTAATAATAATATTGAGTGCAGCATTTAAAAATTAACGTCTTTTACTTTGAGAGAAATACAGAATAAATTTGGTGGTCTTTGGATTAAAGGACAATAGAATAATGATTATGTGTAAAATTTATCCTAATGTAGGATGAAACAATTTTTTCCCCCAGATACATAGGATAAATAGTAAATCTTTTTGTTTATTAACTTTTTTGAGACTGGTGAAAATACAGACTTATTCTCCAGAAAATTCACATACTTATTGTATTAGGCCATTCTTTTTTCTTTGTTTTTTTTTTTTTTTTCTTCTTTTTTGAGACGGAGTCTCACTTTGTCTCCCAGGCTGGAGTGCAGTGGTGCGATCTCAGCTCATTGCAAACTCCGCCTCCTGGGTTCAGGCCATTCTCCTGCCTCAGCCTCCTGAGTAGCTGGGACTACAGGTGCCCGCCACCATGCCCGGCTAATTTTTTGTATTTTTTAGTAGAGATGGGGTTTCACCGTGTTAGCCAGGATGGTCTCAATCTCCTGACCTCGTGATCCACCCGCCTCAGCCTCCCAAAGTGCTGGGATTACAGGCGTGAGCCACCACACCTGGCTTATGTTAGGCCATTCTTGCATTACTATAAATAAATACATCAGACTGGGTAATTTATAAAGAAAAGAGGTTTAATTGGTTCACAGTTCTGCAGTAAGTATGGCACTAGCATCTAATTCACCTTCTGGTGAGGCCTCAGAAAGCTACAATCATGGCATAAAGGGAAAGGAAAGCAGGAGCATCACACAGCGAGAATGGGAACATGGATGAGGAGGTGCCACACAATTTTACACGACCAGATCTCATGTAAACTTGCTGAGCAAGAACTTGCTCATTATCATGAGAATAGTACCAAGCCATCCATAAGGGATCTGCCCGCACAATCCAATCACCTCCCATCAGTCCTGACCTCCAACACTGGGGTTACATTTCAACATGGGTATTGGAGAGGACAAATATCCAAAGCATAGCATTCTGCCCCTGGCCTTCCAAATCTCATGTTCCCCTCATATTGCAAAATACAATCATCCCTTCCCAACAGTCCCCCAAAGTCTTTACTCATTCCAAGTATCAACTTAAAAGTCCTGAAGTCCTAAGTCTAGAGTCTCATCATTGGAGACTCAAGGCAAATTTCTTCCTGACCCTGTAAAATAAAAAGCAATTATTGACTTCCAAGATGCAATGGTGGTACAGGCACTGGATTGATATTCTCATTCCAAAAGGTAGAAATTGGCCAAAAGAAAGGGGTAATAGGCACCACAGAAAACCCAGAAGAGCATACATTAAACCTTAAAGCTCCAAAATAGTGTCTGTTGACACCATGTCCCACATCCAAGGCATGTTTCTGCAAGCGGTGGACTTCCAATGCCTTGGGCAGCTCCACCCCTATGGCTGCGCAAGGTGCAGCCCCCACAGCTGCTCTCAAGGGTTGGAGTTGAGTGACTGCAGCTTTTCCCTGTGGAGGTTGCAAGTTGCAGGTAGCCATACCACTCTTGGGGCTAGAGGGTGGTGGTCCCATCCCACAGCTCCACTAGGCAATAACCTGGTAGGGACTTTGTATAGGGCCTCCAATCCCACATTTCCCCTCTGCATTTTCCTAGCAGAGGCTGTCTGCAAGTGCTCACCCATAGAGTAGGCTTTTGCTTTAGCACCCAGGTTTTCTCATACATCCTCTGAAATCTAGGGTGAAGCTGCCAAGCCTTATTCTCTTCTGCATTCTGAGCACCTGCAGGCTTAAAACCATGTGGAAGCTGCCAAGGCTTATGGCTGTGCCCTCTGGAGCTGCAGCCTGAACTGTATCTGGGGCCCTTTGAGCCAAAGCTGGAGCTGAATGGCCTGAATGCAGAGAGCAGTGTCCAAAGGCTGTGCAAGTTAGCAGGGCCCTGGGGCTGGCCCCTGAAACCATTCTTTCCTCCTAGGCCTCTGGGCCTGTGACGGGAGGGGTTGCCTCAAAGATCTCTGAAATGCCTTCAAGACCTTCCCATTGTCTTGGATAGTAGCACTTCGCTCCCTTTTAGTCATGCTAATCTCTTTAGCCAGTGGTTGCTCTGTAGCTGCTTGAATTCCTCCTCTATCACAAAGCCAAGCTGCAAATTTTCCAAACTTTTACATTCTGCTATCATTTTAATTATAAATTCCAAATTTAAGTCATTCCTTTGCTCCTGTATTTGATCTTAGGCTGTTATAAGCAGTCAGGCTACATCTTAAATACTTTGCTGCATAGAAATTTCTTCTACTAGATACCCTAAGTCATCACTCTTAAGTTCAACCTTCACAGATCCCCAGGATGTGGACACAATGCAGCCAAGCTCTTTGCTAAGGAATAACACAGGTGACCTTTACTCCAGTTCCTAGTAACTTCCTCATTTCCATCTGAGACCTCATTAGCCCTGGCCTTCACTGTCCATATCTCTATCAGCATTTTGATCATAACCATTTAACCAGTCTCTAATAAGTTACAAACTTTTCCTCATTTTACTGTCTTCTTCTGAGCCCTCCAGGCTCTTCCATTTTCACCTCTGCCTGTTACCCAGTTCCAAAGCCACTTCCACATTTTTGGGTATCTTTACAGCAATGTCCCACCGCTTGGTACCAATTTTCTGTATGTGACCATTCTTGTATTGCTATAAAGAAATATCTGAGACTTGATAATTTATACAGAAAAGAGGTTTATTTGGCTCACAGTTCTACAGGTTGTAAAGAAAGCATGACACTGGTGTCACATACTGAAAGTGGGAGCAAGGGGTGGGAGTAAGGTGCTCCACACTTTGAACAACCAGATCTTGCATGAACTTTTAGAGCAAGAACTTGCTCATTATCATGAGGACAGCACCAAGCCATTCGTGAGGGATCTGTCCCTGTGATCCAATCACCTTTCACCAGGTTCCACTTCCAACACTGGGGATTACATTTCAAAGTGAGATTTGGAGGAACAAACATCCGAACAATATCACTTATACACTCAAAATTTTGGTCAGAGTTGTTGACTTTTCCAGGGTCACTCAGAAAATGGCAGAACTGGCTACAGTCCAAGTGCTTTTAGTCAGTGCTTTTAATAATAGTAATAAATAATAGTAATAATAGCTACCATTTTCCAAACATTTTTTTGCTAACCACTTTGCATACATTTTCTTATTTGATCCTTTTGAGGTGGATACTCCTATTATCTCCATGTTACACTTGAAATAACTGAAGCTTATCTCAGCTAGAAAATGGCAGAGCCACATCCACACATTTTTAAGTACCATAGACCCACCTTAGCTGCAGGCTTCCCAGCTCCCTTCCAGTCAGGGCTGAGATTCAGTCTGGCTGTCTCTCCACAGCTATACCATTTTTTAAAAAATATTGAAACATGTTTGTATTTGTAGGTAAATAGCCCTGTGGCCCAAGACCCAAGTGCCCTTATGCTACTCTCGCAGCCCTTCTCCATCTTTCAGGAACTGTGGATCACTCCACAATCCAGCAAGTAACTTGCAGCACTGCCGGAGGCCTCTGGACCTGGGTTTTTAAATATTTGAATATTTGAGTGCTATCTCTACCTTTCAGAATGTAGCACCTTTTTACCTTTTAAGACCCAGGTAAGGTCTGCATCCTTCTCACCCTTTCTAGTTACTTCAGCCTATATATTAAATACATATTTGTAAGATGCCTTCTATGGGCAATGTGGGCTTGGCACAGGAGATACAGTGGTGAAGAACATAGACAGTTTCTGCTCATAAACAGCTAGGGAGGGATAGACTTCAAATCAACAATAAGACTCTAAATGCATAGCCGCACACTAGTAGGTGTTATGAAGGAAAAACACTAAATGTGATCAGAGCACAATAGGTGCATTATGAAGTATGATAGGACAATAGAATTTAACCTGCGGTATCAGAGAAAGCATCTAGGAAGAAGGAACTTTTCAGTGGAGACTGGGAGAATGAGTGGGTGAGGTCAGGTAGGTTACCTGGATGGAGTGAGAGACCTGGAGTAAACTTAGCCTGTGGGAAGACTCTGTGAGGAGAGAGCAATTGTCAGTGTTTAGGACCTGAAGGAAGGTAAGTGCACAGGAGCAGCCTGAGGGAGGCGCTGCTCTGGAGAATCAGGCAGAGGTTTTATCATGCAGGACCCAATGGACTTGAGTCCCACCAGAAGTGCAAATGGAAAAACTACTGAAGAGTTTGAGGCAGGCCATGAGTCGATCCACACCACACCAGCAGTGGGGCACAAGTGAAATGCTTTTGGAAGCTATAAAGTGTGAGGGAATTGATCCAAGTTTAAGAAGCGTTATGCATATAAATCTAAATGATGGAGTAGCAATTTCAAGCATTTTTTTTCTCTTCAATGATACCCTGCCTCCTAATTCACATGTCTCACTTCTTTAGATGACTGTGCCCAACTCAAGGCAGGAGGAGATGAAGGAAGGTTCTGCAGTCCTTGATAGCCTCATTTTTAAAAATGAAGTCAGCGTTTCTTTCTCTGGCTTTTTTCCTTGTTTCTTTGGAAATTTTCTTTTTTCCCCCTTTTGGCCTTTATATAATCTTTTTCTTCTTTTTGATGATGACAACATATTTGTGCCATTGCAAAATACATACCAACTTACTTGGAGGCCAAGACCTGCAAATTATTTTTATACTAAGGTCTGATCAAGGTCTAAATAAATACCTAATCTCACATAGATTTTTTTCATCTTTTTCCTCAAGAAACTAATACACTTTCATAATACAAAGTTGATGATTATCCATATTTTGCACACACACAAACCCTACCTCTTTTGCGTTATCACTATACATTTTGCATAGCATTTCAAATAGTCTTTTCTACATTTCCAGTTATCTTGGTCACAACATCTCTTCAGCAGGGCAAAAGAAAACACAGGTAACTTAGAAATACTTTAGCCCAATTTCTTAATTTTCCCAGTATATCCCAAGTTAAAGGAAAAAATGAACTGTTATTGCACGGACAGCCTGGACTACACAGTTTCAAATTTGTCACCCATTGCTATGAGTTTATTATTCTATTGTCCACAACTCTCTTGTCCTGCCCCTTTTCCCCATTCTATAGTGAGAGTATTGATTCACTAAAGGTGAGTCTGATGTTTTATATTTCTTTTGCAGTTCTCATAATATTTAATGTGAATCTTGGATTTTCAATAAATGCTTACTGATGGATACCCTGAATGAGCCTACTGGTAGAGGAATTGAGCCATGGATTCAGGGGATTTTTATTCTTAACCAGCCTCTTAAAAGGACTGGTATTGATAACTTTTCTATTCTCACAAATTGTGATTTAAGTGAATACACACATTTTTTTTGGATTGATATCTGGAGACAGGATGAAGAATTGCTTTTCTTAGAAGTAAGTGTGCAATGTTAGATGTTTGTTGACAGAATTAGGTTTGAAAAATGTGCTATCATCTATGGTAAAGTCCAAGTCAAAAAGCAGTATTCTATGCTAGAGTGGAGTTTTGTGGCATGTAAGTAATTTGGAATTCTTGTCACTGTGTATTACAACGGCTGTCTATTCTATTAAAATTTACCATGATATCTATTTTAATCCTGTGTGATCTCTTTTCACCAGAAAGGAGAATAAATATAACCTAAGAGCTCATCTCCTTCTGTGAATTTTGCTGTACTTTTGATTTCCAAGTTCTGTGAGATATTTTAATTGATCAAGATATTTGGAACACATAGTTTATTTCCACAGCTCCTCCTTCATGTATTAAAGAATCAGAAAGATAGTAAGACAATAGCTGCAGAAGTGAATAAATTTCAGTCCCTATAGAGTGAACGTAATTCAATTCAATGAATATTCATTGAGCAACTATAATGTATGAGAAGCTATGCCTTCTGTTAAGAACATGCAACTGAGAAAGAAACTTTCCTTTCTTTTAAGGAGCCCATTATCAAATAGCTTCTCTATTTGAAGATCAGGCATATACATAAATGTTTATAAGTTGACAGGTGCTATAAAAAGAGATGGTTTGGATAGAGAGGTGAATATTCCACACTTTTTAAACGAAAGGCTTTACAGAGAAGAACTAAATCTTGAAAGATGATAGTTATTAACCAGGGAGAAGGACTTTTCAGGTGGAGGATTTCCAGCATTGATAGAGAATGAGTACTAGCAGTGTGTGTGTAGAGGGAAGGATGGGCCTACAGAATCATATTTTGCCTTAGTGAGACATTTGGATTTTTTTTTCTCATGGAAGATGGGAAAGCACTGATGAAAGAGTTTTCATCAGTGAAACATCAGATTTTTATTTTTGAATGTTCATTGTGGTCTCAGTACAGTTAGAGGATTGGAAGGAGACAAGGTGAAGGCAGGGAGACCAGTTAGGAGATTGTTTAAATAGTAAAGGCAAAAGGTAATAAAAGGTAAGAAAAGCAGTGGCAATGAATATACACAGTGTGTATATTAGTCCATTTTGACACTGCTGATAAAGACATAATTGAGACTGAATAATTTATACAGGAAAAAGAATTTAATGGTCTTACAGTTCCATGAGGCTGGGGAGGCCTCACAATCAAGGCAAAAGGCAAGGAGGAGCAATTCTTGTCTTATATGGAAGGCAGCAGCAAAGAGAGAGCTTGTACAGGGAAGCTCCACCTTATAGAGCCATCAGATCTCATGAGACTTATTCACTATCATGAGAAAAGCAAGGGAAAGACCTGCTCCTGTGATTCAGTTACCTCCCACCAGTTCCTCCCATAACACATGGGGATTCAAGATGAGATTTGGGTGCAGACACAGCCAAACCATATCACACAGCATGTACTTTTGTTTTAGCTTACAAGAGCTATTCTGGTACCATTCATTACTATTTCAGGGTAAATGGGGCTATTGCAGTTGGGATGTTTAAAATATATACTGTGTCAGATGCTGGCTAAATGCTTGTCACTTACAGTTCCCTTTTATAGACACATAGTTAAACTACATTTCCCAGCCTCCTTGCATCTAGGTGGGGCCATGTGACTAGCTTTTGCCAATGAAAGTCAGAGAAAATGATTTTATCATTTGCAGGCTGAAACATTTACAAGTGAGTGTGCCTTCCCCACATTTTCTCTTTCTCTTTCTTTCTTTTTTTCTTTTTGTATCTGAAGTCTTGGGGGACACATGATGGAGATAAAGATGGTAGAGTTGCCAAACAGAAAAAGCCTGGATCCCTGAGACAAATCTTGGAGGAGAGTCACTCAGGTGAATAACCTGATAAGAACACCTGCATTGGATTTTCCATGAGCAAGAAATAAACTTTAAACGACTTACTGAAGTGTTTCAGAGTTTTTGTTACAGCAGCTAGTGTTAATTATCCTAATACATATTTTCCTATTCTTACCTTTGCCATCAGCCAGAAGTTTGTTGGTTTCATTTAAGCTCATATCCCTTGCTTCTTTAGTTGCTTTAAGCTTTTACTCTCTCTCTCTCTCTCTCTGTGTGTGTATATATATATATGTGTGTGTGTGTGTGTGTGTGTGTGTGTACATATCTATGCAATATCTATATAAACACATGTATATTTAGCACTAGGCACTCTGCTGGATACTGGAGATTCAATAATAATAAACAATTAAGATATCTGTCATGATGGAATTAAGAGATAAGAAGAGGAAAAGAGAAGTTATAAGTAATTATAACAAATGTAACAAAGTATAATTAGTGTTCTGCTAGATAAAGGATACGTCACTTTGGTTACTCACAATAAAAGGCAGATGCAACTCAGTAATGTATTTAATTCAATTCAGCTTAACAACACTTTGCCTAAGGTATACCAGGCATTATATTAAGTACTTGACATAAAAATAATAAAAAACATTGTTCTAGTCCTCATGAAATGCATAGTTGTTTAGAAGAGTCAGACACTTAGAATACTTACCAAGTAGTACTTTTTTACTCATTTAGGTGTAACAACAGAAATAATTACAAGATGTTGAAGCAGTACCAGGGAGGATGTGATGGACCCTGTGTTATATAATACTGTGAGATAGTACTTGACTAGTTTTCCTCCTAGATCTTTCTTTTATTCAAGATTTGAGTGTGAAAAGTCTATGCTTTGGGAGCTGGTGCATTGGCTTATTCCCATAACCCTAGTACTTTGGGAGTCTGAGACAGGAGGATTGCTTGAGGCCACGAGTTCAAGATTAGCCTAGGGAAGATATGGAGACCCCATCTCTGCAAAAAATAAAACTATTAGCTGGGTATGGTGGTATGCACCTGAAGCTCTAGCTACTCGGGAGCTGAGGTCAGAGGATTTCTTGAGCCCAGGAGTTAGAGGTTGCAGAAAGCCATGATGGTGCCACTGAACTCTAGCCTTGTGTGACAGAGTGATACTCCATCTCTAAATAAAAGAAATCTAAAAAGAAGAAAGAAAAAGAAAAAAAAAGAAAAAGAAAAAATAGTCTATGCTTCATGGGGAAATGGAAAATATTAGCATTATGTTTTGAAGAGTATCTGATGAGTAAGAGCTATTCTGTCATGCCCTCAGTCATTCAGTATTCATTCTTTCATGCAATAAATATGCATTTGGTAAGCATGATGACAAGAAACTGTTTCCATACCTAGATAAAGATTTTTGAGAAGTGAATTCGAGACAAAGATGGAGTGAGTAGACAATGTGGGTCCCAGGGAAAAGAACTCTTTGTACAATATACCTTGGGCTGAGCTGTGGAGTTGGGGAGAGCAATAGGAATCCCAGATTAGTTTCTGGGAGTCAGGAGCAGTGAGGATGTGCATCTTACTTCCGTGATAGGGCCCAGGAAAGCAGTAACATCCAGAGGTGAAATGGTAGTGATGTGTGTTTAGCCAGTGATAGTTCGGACGAGAATCTGTGGTCCAGAAAGCTGCAAGAGTAGTAAGATGTGCCCAAGAAAGGTACAGAAATAGACAATTTCCTAGATGGTCCCAAAGAGACCATTTGGCCATGCTGGGAAAGGAAGAGGCTGAATGATCTCCTTGTCATCATGTGAGCCCACCAGAGACCCAGAAAGCAGCATAGAGAGGGCTAGACATAAGGACGACTTGCAGTGAAGACTGGGCTGCAATTCAGGATCATCCTCCAAGTCTGATAATGGCAATGGATGTTGTAGCTGAAGTTAATGAGGAGGAATGATGACCCTAAGGACCAGACACTTCACCCTTCCTCACCCCTCTCCTGACAACTCAGCATTATATTTCTCCCTGGAACTTGGATGAAAGGTTGGGTAAAAATAGGTAGAACTCTAAAATTGTTGAAATTGTATTTCCAGCATACAGTCAAAGAGATGCATAATACAATGTAAGCTGAGTTAGAGAAAAATACAGCCAGGTTTATTTCTTGCACCCTGAGTATGTAAGCTGTAAAAGATAGTGGGTTCAGAGAAGGCTTCTAGAGGGAGGAGGTATCTAAACTAGGATGTAAAGAGTGAATAGAACTGGGCCAGATGGACCAGGGCATTAGCAGGAGCTGCAAAGTGCAAGAGGGAAAGTATTCTCTGCAGAAGGAACAGCTTGCTCAAAGGCCCTGGGGTTTGAAACAACCAGGGGTACTCACTAGGAGTGTTATCAGTTTGGCATTTTGGAAATTGAGTATAAAGTGCGAAGTGAGTAGTGGGGCTAAGAAATAAGCCAGGAGGGAACAGGTCAATGGACCGTTCATACTATGCTAAATGAGTGATTTATCTCTTTACCAAACTTCAAGTTCTTCGTTTTATCAATTTATGGTCTACCAAAAAGAGTATTATTTCTGACAAATCTGATCTTATAATTTGACTTTCAATGCAAGATGAGATCACATACCATCAATTATATCTTCTAATCTAGATTGTTTTATTAATCCTCTTATTAACCATAATTCAAGACCATTAGTCTTCCTCCCATCAGGCTACCTAAAATATTTTTATGTAGTCCTTGACGATGTGTCATCTAGATTTTGTATTTGTCAGTTGGAATGTGTATTATGTATGTTTATTATGGTAAAATCTCTGGCAAATACCCTCTTAAATAATTTTTACTCAGAGTGTCTGGATTTATTTCACAATGATAGAGAATAATGAAACTATGTTTTTGAACACAAGTATAACAAGAGTATACATTATTTTTCAGTTTATAATAATGTGCTTGGCCCTTATAACTGCTTACTATATGGGCAGAGCAGAATATGATTTTATTTTACTGATGAAAAATTGGATCCCTGGCCCCTGCCTGCCTCTCTGGGCTCATGCCATTCCACCCCTACTTGTTTACTGTGTTTTAACCAGGCTGACCTTTCAGTTCTTCAAAAGTAGCAAGCTTCATCTCTCCCCAGAGCCTTTGGAATAACAATTTCTTTTTCTTTACACTTTCCCTTTCCCCTAACACATTGAACTCACCTGTACTTAGAGATGTGTATAGTCCCCTAAAATGATTACCCTGGGAAGTCATATACTTATTTCTTGATACTACTCCTGTAGTCTTGTGCAAACAATTTTGAGACTTTCCTTTAAAACCCATTCATAAGCCATATCAGAAAATCCATTTTGTTAGCTTGTATTCACACTTTGTTTTTGACCTAAAGTGGTAGTGTAATACTGAAAATCTCACTCTGCTAGATTTCAAATGACACTTGTCTGTTTCCAGAAATTAAATCCATCTTTAATGAAGAAAGAGGTACAGCTGTTGAACATCTTCAAGGGAATGAATCATGGATTCTGAAGGTGATTGATTGAAATGTGAGTCCCTGAAACATTTTAGGCAAAGGCAATATTGTTGAAATAGGTGTCTGCTCTTCTAACACGGCTCATTTGAATGTTTGCATCAGCTTATTTGAAAAGCAGTGACCGTTATCTTAAAGTCACATCGAATAAACTGATTGCTGAGATGACATAAAAAAGACTTAATTGTACTCAAATATATAATCTGTATAACCAATCTGCATGCTCTTGAAACACACACACACACACACACGCACACACACACCCTCCCCCAAAAGCAGCTATACTGGTGAGATCTGAGTTTGACTATGAAATTCAGTGAGTTCACAACTGAATCACTTAGATTACCATATCTGGATCTCATTGGCTACAAAATAAATATGTGGTAATAATTCTTTAGCCACCAAATCACTGCAGACAAATCAAGAAGAGAGAATATACCTACTCCTTGGGGAAATTTCACTTTTGGACTCTGTAAAGGATATTTTCGCTCCAACTTGTGCCATTTTCTACTAACAAATAGAAAAAAAAATCAAAGTGGAGTGATCCTGAAAAAATTAGTTTAATTTTGCCGTTATTTAGGTAACATATCTTAATAATTAGAGTAAATCAATATAAATAGAAGATTTTTATATTTTATTATTTTTATATAGGTGATGGAAACAACAAAAGATCAAATCAATGTGCAACAATTGTTCAACAGGAATATTCAGCGAGCAACATTATTGAAACAGAGTGAATATGATTCAGTTTATCAAAGTTAATTTCAGTATCTGGGGACATGGAACTTTCAGCAGAAGAACTTGTACTCCAGCGTTTCATCTCTTGCATAATTCATGTTTCCCGTAAATTTGTTAGTTGTACCTTACACACTGTAGACTTTCAGTGAGGAGTAAGAGTCTTCACTGTAACTGTGGCTGAAGCTCTTAAGATAAGGTTTTTCCAGAAAATTTTTTTTTCCGGAAAATATTTCAGGAGGAAAGACATTTGTTTCTAAGGTCATCTAGTTATCAACTGATGTCTTGAACCCTTAAAATTAACAGTCATTTTAACTAGTTTCATCCTAGCGAGTGTCTAATTAGACCTTGGCAAGATCACTGATTTTATAATATTCACTGGCAGCAATCTCCACATGTTAACTACACACACACACACACACACACACACACTCACACAAATACATTTCTTTTCCTCCATTTAAATCTTCTGCCTGTAAATGTCATGAAATTCTTTAAACTTACATTATTTTGGGAAATAATATTATTCTTCTCCATGAGATTTATTTGGTGGTCCTTTCTTATTGTATTCTTACTCACTTCCTTTTTCCAGAGTACTAAGTAGCAATGGGCTCCAGTTTTCCATGAAAATTCTCACAAATAATTAGTTCAAATGACTGACTTTGGCACATCATTCATGCATCATATAATGGGGAGGGGAAATCCTTAAAGAAAATGCATACAAGTAATTCAGGAAAACATGTCAAACTTGATGTAGATTATTTATTTCTTCTTTTGTGTCAGTGGAGAACATTATCTATCTATATGTATACATATATTTATATTTATATCTACATCTGTAAAGCTATGAGAAACTAACTTGTTCATGGGCATAATCCAAAGGGTTGCTTGAAGGTATATAAAGAACACTAATGTGGGATGTAGTAGATCTTGCTTTTAAGTTTTGGCCAACTGCCGAATTGTTATGTTGCACAAAATAATCAATTTAATTCTTTTGGGTGTTAATTTCTTTATTGGCTAAATTTGTCATAAACACTTTATAGGTTATTTGTTACCAAGACTTATATAATAAATATAAACATACCTCGATGATTATTACTGCTTCTGGGTGTTTAAGGTTTGTTGAATAAAAAATCAGATCAGAAATCCTCAGTGAAGAATAAATTAGTAAATTGAGTATTTGGGTAAAATATTTTCAAAATGTATAGGGTCTAGAATGACTTTATTTATCATTGCATTATAAACACTTTTTTCTGGCCCTTAATTCATGTAACTAAAAGAAAACATAGGCATTTTAAATAAACAAAAATGTATTTTTAAAATCAATGTTATGATTTTAAAAATAGATTCAAAAATTCCATACACCTGAATCTGAAAGGCTTTTGCAAAACTAATCAAACAACCTTCTAAGAAAGGATTTCTTGGCAGGAGTCAAGATTTTTCCAGAACCTTTTTTACGGAGGGATTTCATTGGAGGCTTTTTTAAGGGTAGGACTCTTTGGGGAGTGTGTAGAGCTCTTGCTATCTCCACATGCTCATTGCAGTAATACTTGTTGCTTCCTGCTGACAGATGGATGAGTGTGCGTTCTGCCAGATCCATGCACTGAGCATGGACCCAGTGCCCATCCCCATGAGAGCAGTAGATCATGGCGGGTTTGTTGAGCTCAGTTGAATAGAATGGTACCCAAGTGTTGATATCCACATCACAAGTAGGGCAGCATGTAATCCAGTAGCCTGTCTCAGACTCATCTTCTTCATCATCTTCATTATAGGTGTCAAATTCATCATCACCATCAAAACTATTTGCTTCTGCACTGAAACAAAATTCTTCAGAGTCTTCAAAGGGAGTGGAATCCCCTGGATCTTCTGTTGATGTTTGACTGTTTGTGAATGTTGTCTGCTCTTCATTAGTATCATCTTCAGCACATTTCAACATATAGAAATAGAATCCTTCTGAAACAACTTGTTTATTGTCTCCTGGTATGCCAAGAAAAACAGTTCCATTTCCCATGTTGCTTCCAAACCATATCTTGCTGTGCTTAATGTCTGGGGTCCAATCTGGGGTCTCCATCTCACGAATTTCTATCTTGTTGTCCTCTAAAGAGATGATGTTGCAGATCATTCTTTTTTGATTTTCAAGCTGATAGCCACCAACAATAACAAATTCATCATTGTTAGTTTGAGTCAGGATTGCACTGGAGACAGAGATTCCTCCTGGCAAGACTGTGCAATTCACAGCTGGGCTACCCAGGGGAAGATCAACCCTTATTCTGTACAGGTTGGCAGGCCGGATATTATTGGCAAGTGAATGTCCTCCTAAAATATAGATGGTGTCATTTTTGGCAATAGAGACATGAAAAGATAGCCCATCCTGAAGTTCTGGAAGAATGTATGATGTAGCACACCCAAATTCAAAATCCACCAGGAAAACACAGGGCAGGCAGTCAGCTACACTATTCCATTTTTCTGTGGTTCTGTGGGTAGAAGGCATGTATGAGCGTCCTCCAAAGAGAACACCCATACTTTTCCCTCGGCTGTACACCACATTAATGGAATGACCATATCTGGCTTCAGGAACATCTCCTACCAAGTCTTTCTCTGTGCAGCGAAAAGTAACCTTTTTGTTGTTCTTGCAAACAATAGACATGACATAAATCTTATCTGAAACCTCATTGTTTGGTGTTTTCCCTCCATGGATGATGTATTGATGCTTTTCAGACTCCAAGCTGCCTTTGAATGTGCAAGTGGCTGGGTAGCGAAGAGGAGGGAGGTAGCAGGAATCCTTAGAGAAAATTGTAGGCTTCAGTTTGACATGGTTATGCTTTACATCCAGATGGAAAACTCCAGTGGGGCAGGATCTTTTGGGCCAGCCTTTTTGTCCAAAGAAGAAAACTTGTCCATCAAAATTCATCAGTGAGAAGCCTGGCTGAATTAAGGCTATGTTATTACTGACTGTTACCATCTGCAGAGACATAGTTTCTGATGGTACGTAGATTTTTGTCTGAAAGAATTATAAAATAAAATGACTTAGAGATCGCTTCATATAATCATCGTATTTAGATTCCTTCACATGTGAATAGCATTTTTTTAAGTCCTCCCACACGCTTGCAGTGGGACTGAATGAGGAAAATCCAAGGAGTTAGGTCAGTAAAGAGCCACAGAACCTTTACTGCCATTCCATCCAAGGAGCTGGGACATGTTTTAGCCACGGACTATATGCTCCCTAGGATTTCTGGGAATTGTAGTCCTTTTCCGTAAAGAGTCACCATGCGTCAGCTGAAAGAACCACATTTCCCAAGAATCCGTTCTCTCTGGGATGTGTAGCTTTGGAAATCTGTCTTTGTTGCTCTGGGAGAGGGGACTCCTGGAATGTGTCTGTGAATAAAGACTAGCCGAAGGTGCGAAGTGACTAGACGGGAGCAAAGGAGGAAAACTAGGGAATGGGAGGTGAGAGTGGCTGACACCGACCCAACGTCCGGGTTGCCGGAAGGCTGCAGCGCCCGGAGCGGTGTCGGGCAAACCGCTACCCTGGTATTGCTGGAGCCTCTCCTGGGGACTTTTGAACAGGTGACCCGATAGGAAGCACAACTGCTTCTGTTGGAGTGCGGTTACCTGGAGACCGCAGTCTGAAGGGACTCCCGGCAGAGATGTCGTTACGGTGTCCTGCCTGTCTGGATGCTTAGGAGCGCGACTCAAAACTACACCCCTGACGACCCTGGAGGTGCTTGGGGCGGGAGGTTGAAGGGGGCACCGAGGTTACAAAAGCCGTGACTGTCTTACAGAACCGAAAGATGGATCTTTGAATCCCTAGAGTGCAGGGGAGACATTGCCTGTTAAAGATGTTTACCACTTCTACATTTAGTAATAGAAATACAGTTATTAGGTTTTAACGAGTGCACTTTGAAGGTCCTTTGTTTTCTTCACTGTTTTTACTCCTGTTTTTAGGGTTCTTTTAGGGAAGCAGAGAAGGTTCCTAAACACATCTTCTTTTCATCTTCATTCTAGGAAAATAGAGTTAGTGGCTTTTTCACATCTTTCCAGTCCAAGAACTTTTGGGTAATTCTTTAATAATTCTGTAGTAAGTAAGCAGGGACTAAGCATAGAAGTGTTTGAATTATTCAGAATTTCATACTTGTGTTACAACAAAAAGAATATTTACTAGATGAAGGAAGCTTGATAAATTTCTATTTTATTATTGTTTACCTTAGAGAGTTGTGGAATACACTCCGTGTTTGCAGTGTGATGTCCTGTGCACCAAATGTTAAAGGAAACAAAACATAGCACAGATTTCTTGACTTTTAAGAGTTAATTCTTAATATGCTTCAAAAGCAGTATAAACAATGGCTGAGTGTGGACTCTGAATGCTTACTGGCTGGATTCAAATCCTGGCTCTGCCACTAACTACATGACTTTGGGCAAGTTATGTAACCTCTGTGTGCCTCAGTTTCCTCATCTGAAAACTGAGATAATAATTTTACCAACCTCATATATTGATGTCAGTTATGATTAATAGTTGAATATACGTAAAGTACTTAGAACAGGGATTTGCATATAGTAGACGATAGTTATGATTATTTTAAAATTTACCAAAAATAAGGTCTAGTGCATACGCACCTGCCAGTAATGGCAGTTGATAAGGTTGGAGAGGATGAGAAGGGGCTTTAGGATATGGGAATCAGGTCAGTGGGTATAGACAGATAAACATTTGAACTAAAAGAATTGGATAAACATATATGATGAGGGTGCTGGTAGTAGTTAATTTATTAACAGAAGATAGTTAATATTTTATTCTTCTTGTCACCCTTTGTCTAACTGGGGATAATCTTGGTATATATTCACTGGGCTGTTTTGAGAAATAAATGGGATAGCACGTGTAAATCACATAGAACAGTGCCTGGCACATAAACACTCAATAAATGTTAATTGATACTATAATTTATCTAATTTATCTTTATTCCTCCTGCAAAGATTCCTTGGACTATTTAGAATCTCTGGTCACTCTAATGAGATGGTAGTGTTTTTTTTTTGTTTTTTTTTTTTTTTGCTTTAAAGAACTTCTGTAGATCAGCTGTAATTTACTGCTAAATAATCTCTTGTAGTTATTATTTTCAGTCTACTTGGGAGACTCGTAAGGGGGTGATCTTTCAACAATTATCTGGTGGGTTATTAAAGCAGGTGAGGAAATGGTGTCTCAGAAGGATTATTATCAAAGTTATGAAAACAAGCCTGTCTCCCTCAGTTGTATATTCAGCAAACTGCCCTGCTTATAAAATAATCTAGGCAGTGTTTTATTTATATCATGGCCTACCCAAGCCTACATGAGGGAAGGCATCTGAGCAACTATGAAAAATGCTATTCATAGAAACTAAAAGGAGACATTATTGACCCTCACTTCAGAAAACTGTAGGTGATTACACTCAGCCTGAGTGATTATGATCAGAGAGTTGTCCCATTTTGGGTGGGGGGAACACCAAAGCCAAGGCCTGCTTGTTTCAAACACCTGTGATGACTGTTATTGAGATACAAGGCAAGCCATACAGTGGTAATGGATTCCAGATCCAAAGGGATTTTTCAAGAACAGTTGTTTTAAAGCAATGTTTTTATTGTCGCCTCTTGGTTTCATTTTAAGGTTGCTGTAGGAATTGTGGCTTCTCGTAAGTGAAAACATGATTATTGTAGATTACACAGAAACATTTTCTTGGGCAAGACATAAGGAGGATTGTCCATTTTTGTAGCTTAGTCTAGGCCCCTAAAGATTTTTGAAACAGGGCTTTTGACCTGTTTTCCCTTTGATGCTCTGCTTTTGGCTCATTTCATAATTTCAAGGCCCTAAAAACAGTGGTAAAGTTTCTTATTGCTAAGATGAATTACCTCCTCTTGTAACATGGTTCAAGTGTGAGTAATTAATTTTTAGATTACTCACTTTAACCAGATGATGTATGCATTTAAAGAATAAACAGGAACATTGAAAGTGTTTTCACATGATTTTGCCACATTTGGTTTTTGAAATTTTGCTTTATCAACTTGAATATATTTTTCACTGGAGTAGACCATTGTATCTCTTCCATAGTTTCAATATGACTGTATTAGTCACACCTTGGTTTTTAAAAAGAGTTTTTAAATGATTATACTATATCTAAAATAACCTACTGAAGTCTTTTCCTTTTAATAGGCTACATAAAAACAGGCAGATTTAAAAGAATAAGATCCTGTTCTTCAGCTGAGGGAGGCTTCAAGGTCAACACATTAAAGATTCTTTGTAAAGGACAGAAATATAGGACCAATAAATATATACAATTTTCCCAACCCCATGCTAACATTCTTCAGCAGGGAGATTTTCATTTATTCTCTCTGATGCTAGGGCATAGTTGAGTATAATGAAAGGACTCATAGTATGAGGTCTGGGTTTATAGTTCCTAATATCTGAACTGACTTTTTCTTTTCCAAAGAAAGATACTGTACTGTGAAACATTAAATCTTGCTGATCCGTGCTGGCCATGTTTTCTTGATTGCTCCAGAGTAGCAAGTAACCTCATGTAAGTAACTTCAGGCATTTAATGTGTGAATAACAGTATCTTGCACTGTTAATCAGGTTTGAGGCATATATTATTTTATTTCTGCTGGCAGTAAAACCAGGATTAGGTCTTCCTTCCTGTCTTAGGCCAGAGAACGATTTATGTACGAAGATTAATAATAGTGCTCTAAAGGCCTAATAATTAAATCCCTGAAGCAGCCAGAGAACAGAAAGCCCCACATTTTCCAAATTCTACTCATCCCTTCCCTATCTAGACACCAAATCCACTTGTGACTAACACACTGCCAAAATGTGGCATCTTCATTCCCTTAAAGTTTACTAACATAGGCTCCCATTTTTTAGCTTTGGTAGAAATGAAGGTATCAGACCTACCTGAAGGCCAGAGGGGCTGCTCACGCCTCTCTGAATCTTTGCCGCTAAACCAGGTATTAATTGTCAGCACTTGGGGAAGATTCACTGACTGCCCACTATGACTGTGGCAAGCAGAAGGCTGACTGTAAAGAGAGTGTGTATGTGTGCCTACAGATGTTCTTATGAACACTGATCTAATGGGAGTAACTGACTGTGACCTTTTTTTTTCTTTCTTTAGATGGTTGAGGGAGATACCCAACAGGGTGTACCCTCAGGATTTAACTCTTTCACTACTAGCAACAATGGCAACACAATTCACTATTTGTACAGATAAAAAGAAATCTGGGCAAAACTTGATTTTTAAAAATTAAGAACATTTTAGAAAAACACAGAAGAAATACATATAGTTTCTATGGTTTAAATAAACACTATTTTGAATCAAATGAGAAAGTATTTGTCCTGAAGCAGAGACCACTAATACCAGTGCTATTCATTTTAACTTTGAGGTACTCTTTTGTGGTCTCATTTTCTTTAATGCAAGGCTCAGAAGGAAGGAGTTGTAATTATTCGAGGCCCTCTACCAACTTTATATCAGGCAGCTACTGAGTAATAATACAGTGTAATGATTAAGAAAATGGGCTTTTGGGGTCAAGCTCACCTGGTTTTCTTTGCCAGCTCTGCTATTTTTCAGGTAGTAGAGTCATCTTAATCCTTAAGCCTCTGTTTTTCAGGTAGAGTCATCTTAATCCTTAAGCCTCTGTTTCTCTGTCTCTGAAATGAGGATAATAGAAATATTTACTTCAAAAAGTTGTCGGGAAAAGATTAAATGAGATAATGTATGCAAAGTGTTCAGCCAAGGAAGAGTTTAATATTCCATAGTGATCTTGATAGCAAAAACTACCTTTATAATTTCTTTTATTTTCTTTTTTTTGAGATGGAGTCCCGCTCTGTCTCCCAGGCTGGAGTGCAGTGGTACGATCTTGGCTCACTGCAACCTCTGCTACCCAGGTTCAAGCGATTCTCCTACCTCAGCCTCCCGAATAGCTGGGATTACAGGCACACGCCACCACACCCAGCTAATTTTTGTATTTTTAGTGGAGATGGGGTTTTGCCATGTTGGCCAGGCTGGTCTCAAACTCCTGACCTTGGGTGACCCACCTGCCTTGGCCTCCCAAAGTGCTGGGATTACAGGAGTGAGCCACCTCGCCCAGCCTATAATTTCTAATAGTAGCATAATTTCTAAATGCAACCTAATTTACCTAACCTTCCACTATTGTTGGTCATTTGATCAGTTTCCATATGGCTTAGATGATAAAATGTAATGATCAGAGCTAGGCAAATCTGGGTTTGAGTTTCAGTTCTGTGACCTTTTTGAGTGTCAGTTTTCTTATCTCTAAAATGGCAATAATAACTACCTTATTGTAAGGATTAATGGATTAAAATGTCTATAGAATGTACATAGTAAATCTTACCTAATGATGAAGATGTACATATATTACCTAAATATATTTGCATAAGTGACTAATTTTTTGCAAAATTTTAGTGTATATTTTCAGGGTTGATTTTTTTTTAAACAGATGTATGTAGCTCAGTTGATTGGTTGATTCTCATCATTTGAAATGTCGATCCATCCTTAAAAAAGCATCGTCATCTCTTCTAGTTCCTTCTGTGATGATTTTTTTAATCTGCAAAAGGATATTGGGTTATTTCCCTAACCTATTTATGTGTTATATAAAGTGTTGTATAATGATTAAGATACTTGAAATTACAGCAACCATAAGGACAACTGTCATAAAATTGATATATTGGATGTCTTCACTGTAAATACAAAATAAGAAATGCAAAAATAGAAACCATGGATAGATTTAGATGTGTTTTAGCCTTTGGATTTTACTAACATCAAAAAACAGGCAATTTTTAGCATAACAATTAGTTGCTGAATGGGTTAGTTGTCTCTTGACAAGACTAGAAATTAGTAGCACATTTGAAAATGGGTTTTAAGACTCCAAGTCCTTGCTATACCATTAGGAGAGCATTAGACTTACAGTGATCTCATACAAGGTTCCTGATCTCCAAAAGTCCTCAGCATTGAAACTAAATATAAAATAGTAAACTATATTTATTGAGCATCTACTATGTACAAAGCCATGTGGAGAATTAGAAAAAAAATCAGACACAGGTCTTGCCCTTAAAGCAGGGGTTGCCAATCCCTGAGCCACGGACAGGTACGGTCAGCAGTCTGTTAGGAACAGGGCTTCACAGCAGGAGGTGAGCCGCAGGCCGGCAAGCCTTACTGCCTGAGCTCTGCCTCCTGTCAGATCTGCTATGTGGCATTAGATTCTCATTGGAGTGTGAACCCTGTTGTAAGCTGTGCATGTGAGGGAGCTAGGTTGTGAGTTCCTTATGAGAATCGAATGCCTGATGATCTGAGGTGGAATCGTTTCATCCTGAAACTGTCCCCCTCACTCTGGTCCATGGAAAAATTGTCCTCCACGAAACTAGTCTCTGGTGCGAAAAAGGTTGGGAACTACTGCCTTAAAGAACATATATGATAGTAGAATGAAGCAACTTTTGGTTGCAGATGAACATGCCTTACATTCTTCCCACATTCAGCTTTTCTTAAAAGTTCTTCGAAGTTCATTAAGAAATCACAGTTATAAGTTGCTCAGCCCATTTTTAAGCCTTGAGGCAGAGTAAAACAGAGTAAACAACCTTTATCTTATGGGAAAAATAAAAACTTAGTAATGGGATATCCTGGCCTAGTAATTGGACAAAAAAGGAAACATAATTGGAAAAAGAAGATGGAAGCCAACCTCAAGCCCCATCCCTTTATTTTTACACTCAAACTACTCAGGATCAGAAAAGTTTACATAAATTGACAAGGGTAACACAGCTGCAGTGGTCTGTGGATATGATGGGTTGGAGGGAGGCAGAGGAGAAAGACTGTTCTGTGAACTCATGACAGTGCATTTCAAGAAATGTAGTGCATCTCTCAAGCGTTTCCATCCCCATTTTATAAATGGAGAAACAGCTTAAACTTCATTGTCTCTCAGTGAGTTAACAAGTGTTTGCAATAAGGTCAGTGGCAACTTTTCATAGCATTAGGATAAGCATAGACAATGATTAGTGTTTTACTAAGTGGCAGATTTTTGAGGAAATAAGATAAATTGTGTTGGAAAGGTAGATGTTTGGCTCGTTGAATGAATTCCACAATAGGAGCCACAACTGAAACTGACAAAGAAAAGAGGAAGGAAGAGGAAATGTATAGAAGGAAGCAATTTACAGTTAGTATGATGTATTGTCAAGAGAAGAACATGACAAGTGACTTGACATTTTTTATTTAAAGCAATTAGTTAGATATGGCCACCTGACCAGAATGACTGGTATCGTCCTAAAAAATTTCATGATCTCTGATTTAAGGTGGATTCTTTTCTTGAAAACAAAATAGAGAAAACATTTCAGAGGAGTTTTGCTAGAAAAATGTTCTTGCTAGAAAAAATTTACTGAAATACTTTATTTTTAGAGAAGGAAAGGAGTTAGGAGTTTGTGATTCTTTTTATTTTTTATTTTATTTATTTATTGATTTTTTTGGAGACAGGGTCTTGCTCTGTTGCCCAGGCTGGAGTGCAGTGGCATAATCTTGGCTCAACTCAGCCACCACCTTCTGGGCCCAAGTGATCCTCCCACCTCAGTCTCTCAAGTAGCTGGGACCACAGGTGGACACCATCATGCTCAGCTAATGATTTAATTTTTTGTAGAGATGAGGTCTCACTATACTGGCCAGGTGGTCCTGAACTACTGGGCTAAAGTGATCCCCCATGTTGTCCTTCCCAAGTGCTGGGGTTACAGGCACGAACTGTGCACCTGGCCTGATTCTTAATTTCTATCTTTGAGTATAGAAACCATATTGGCAAAAAGAAATTATATATATATGTGCATGTGTGTGTTATGTTTTGTACATTGAGGCAAAATTGCAAATAAAGTATTGAGTGAAATTGGAAACTGGGGAAGCATTGTATTACCTCTTATAGCCCATTTATTATTCCACAGTCTTAGGAATTTATAATTCAAAATAGCTGGGAAACAAATCTAAAATCTTACTTCTTTTAAGAGAATGCCAAGTGAAATAGAGGTTGATTTTATTTGCAAGATCTGGTATTTTGAAACACTTAGAAATGAACTCCTAGGTGATTTAGTTCAGTTGGTCTACACCTGCTCCTAACCAGCTGTGTGGGTTTTGCTTTAGAGTAGGCTTCTTGGTATTGTTTAAAGTCCTGTGCATTGTGCAGGTGGCTAACAGGCTCAGGAAGTTGGAGAGAAGGGGACAACTTTAATTAAGAGTGGATGCCTTTGTGTCATAGTATGCAGTATAAAGTAACCTTTAGTGGGACATTGTATCTTATATGAGGGTGGGATTAGGTTTGAGCTAATAAATCTTTTATGATTGAAATATTGTGTGATTATAGAGCTGTAAAGTTGACTCAGAAACCTTACTGCTTTATGGATTCACAGTTTTATCAGGAGTCTTGAAAAAAGTGTTCACTGAATTACTCGCCGTTACTACCCATAACTCATTGATATAGTTGATAGCATTTCTGAGGCTAGGAGATCAGTTTTGGACATGGCTGAAATATGGGTATGGCAAATTTTTCTTGATAAATGTCTAGAGGTCAGTTAGCGTGCTTATAGGAGTTTTGTTAGGGGGTGAAGATAGGGTGTTTACTTGTAATTCCACACAACTCTAAATGATTAAAAAAAAAACAAGCAAAAATGGTAGTGAAAAGGCATTCTTTTTGATTTCAAAAACAATGGATTTCCTGAGATTTGTCTTATGAGTATATCCTACAGATTCCATGTACACAGTTAATCTGTTTTTAAAAAATGATAGGGAGTGAGTGGGGAGAGTTCAAATGCTTAATTGGTTTGCATTTTTCTTTGTTTAAAAGAATTAATAACTGTGTAATTGAAAACAATCTAATACTTAGGTGACCTGCCTCAGTGAGTCAATGCAGACATTTCTGGATTGACTTAAACAGCTAGGAGGAAGAGTATACTTGGGGAAATAAAATGGGTATTATACAATCTGCTGGTGAACAGAAGGGCTTAATGAATGATAGCCTCAAGAAACCTCATTAAAGTAGCTTGGGTGAATGAACAGGAAAGGGAAGCAAATTTTTCAAGAGGAAAGTTTCTGTTTATGCATGTAATATTATAGATTAGTATTAGTCTCTCTCCCAGAGCTTTCTGTTGGGGGAAAACAACACATCTGGTTCCAACATTCTTGGTAAACTTTTAGTGATAATTTTCTTTTCCTAAATATCTTTTGTTTTAATTGAGTTATCCTTCTTTTCTGTTTCCATCCCCCATTTTTAAGCTAAAAAAAATTATAGATTCACAAGATGAATTCACAGGAGGTTCCAAAGAGGTATATAGGGAGGGCCCATGCAGCCTTGGTCCAGGCTTCTGCAATGTTAACATCATGCATAAGTTTAGTATAACATAAAAATCTGAGTTATTGCTATTACAGAAACAGAGTATTGTATAGAATATGTAAATTACAGCCAGGCACAGTGGCTTATGCCTGTAATCCCAGCACTTTGGGAGGCCGAGGTGGGCGGATCACTTGAGGTTAGGTGTTTGAGACCAGCCTGGCCAACATGGTGAAACCCTGTCTCTACTCAGAATACAAAAATTAGTCAGGTGTGGTGGTGTGCGCCTGTAATCCTGGCTACTCAGGAGTCTGAGGTAGGAGAATCACTTGAACCCAGGAAGTAGAGGCTGCAGTGAGTAGAGATTGCTCCACTGCACTCGAGCCTGGGTGACAAGAGCAAAACTCAGTCTCAAAAAAAAAAAAAAAGTCAATATGTAAATTATAAGTCTCTTTAGGGAAGGACCTAGATCTGTTTTTGTTAAGGCATCCTTTGTGCTATCTTTGTTTATAATCTGAACCCACATTTTAAAAATTATATGCAGTTTTTAGGATGGATGTGCTCCCTTTTCCTTTAGGTGAGAATTTGTCAAGGGGAAATGTATAGCTATTAAGACATACTTCTATTACTGCTGCATGGAACGCAATTCATCTCTCTCTTAAAGCTTTGTAGTCAACAGTAATCCCCAAACCTTTCCTACCTCCTTCCAAATACTTCCTTTAATATTCACAGCAAAGGGCTATACCTAGGGCAATTTAATAATATATGGAAGTCTAGATGCTTATACTATCAACTTTTTTGGTGATAATGAAGAGGTCTATGCCTTTTACATGTTAGAAAAGGCTGTTGATAAAAGCTCATAACTTGAAGTGCAGCGTATACCTTGATGCTAGAATTGTATGTTTTTTATTTCATCCTGATGAAAAACAATAAAGGAGTGTAGGTTCTTTTCTGTTTTGTAAGAGATGTTTTGTTTTATATTCTGCTTTCCCTTTATTCCTTTTGTTTCTTCTTTTGTTTTCTCATTTGTATTGGTAGGTCTCTAATATATAATGATGTAATATGTGCTCAGCCTGTGGCCTTTTGAATGTTATTGGGGTATGGAACATAAATGGAGGCATGAATATACCTGCCAGGGTAAGATTGCTGCTTTGTGCTTAATTTCCTGATGGCTTCAGATACACTTTAAAGTTCATAATCATGAGCATCTCATGACTATTTATGATGAGAGAACCACCCATTACTGCTCATCAATAGAGTCATTAGTTGACAGAAACCCCACATGAAGTTTCTTTCCCATACTCATTTATTCTCTATGATTGGACTAGATAACCTTCAGGTTTCTCTCAAGTCACAGAATCTGAATTTCTCACTGGATGTTTTTCTTTCTTCTTGATATTATCTGAAAGACAAAAAAATTAGAGGATGCAAAATTGTTGTAGTTCAGTCAAGGAAGAAGAAATCAGTTCATACTAGATCTGTTCTAATCACATCTGTGCAGCCTATTAAATCTCTGCAGTTAGAGTGCAGTTTGGTCTTTTGGAGATTTGACCATTTACACAAATATAAAAGGACACACACCTTGTGCAATTGTTGCAGTACAAATGTTGATGGTTTTATTTCCTTAGGCAAAGTGATAATATTTTGATAATATCCCATCTTACCTTTCAGTATAGCAGTAGATTCTTACTGAGCAGAAGATTACCATTTTGAGTAAGTGGGCTTTGATAGACCTGCACAACTCTCAGAGTTTTTAACCACCTCCCCCCTGCCCCCCCACTTTTTTTTTTTGCAGACATATAACCCTAGTGCTGTTAAAAAGTACACTGTGCACTTTCAGAGAAGCAAGCTTGTGGTGATTTGCTTTTTTAGGTCTACTACTCTTGTGTCTGAAAGTTGCATTTTGTTTGAGTAAGTTCATTAAGCAGGGACCTGAAAGTAAACATCAAAGGTGTGCTGAATCAGTGGTGACAATTTCATGTATCATATTTCATAATAATGTTCTTTCAGAGAGCACATAACATTAACTAGCTTAGGTGGTTGTTAGCTTCATTATTTGATAGCAGAAAACAAGACTTAAGGGAGGTTATATGATTTTTCTATCTCTCAGTGACTTGGCAAAAAGTGAACCCTATTCCTAACCAGGCCTGTGGTCTTCAAGTGAAGTGTAGTAGTCCATGGAGCAGTGCATGCTCCCTGTATTTCCTTCTGGGGGCCATGATTGTGAAAGTGTTGCTTGTGATTTACCAGCAGATATTTATACACATTTACTTATCACAAGACGTTTTGAGTCTTTCATGTGGAGCTCAAAGCCTTAAAACATAAAAACCAAAGCAAAACAAAGAATTCTGTTATCTAGGCAAGTGTCTCTCTCTCTCTCCCCCTCTTTTTCTTTTAGAAAAATACTTCGTGATAAAAACACAAAAGTATGTGAATGGTAATTGAAAATGCATTGCTTCCTTTTAGAAACCCACTAGGATTTGCATAAACCACTTGGCTGTCTGATAAGTCATTATCTGTTCTGTCAGTCCCTGGGGACTTTTAATATTAGGTTTATATTTTTATAGAAAAGGCAAGTTCTAAATTTGAAGATGGGTATTGTTAAACTCTTCAATAATGACAGTTTGTGAAACTGCATGTTCCAAAAGTCCTTTAAAAAGTCAATAAGGCCACGCGCAGTGGCGCACGCCTGTAATCCCAGCACTTTGGGAGGCCAAGGCAGGCGGATCACCTGAGGTCAGGAGTTCGAGACCAGTCTGCCCAACATGGCGAAACCCCATCTCTACTAAAAATACAAAAAAAAATTAGCCAGCCATAGTGGCAGGCGCCTGTAATCCCAGCTACTCGGGAGGCTGAGGCAGGAGAATTGCTTAAACCTGGGAGGCAGAGGTTGCAGTGAGCCGAGATCGCATCAAGAGCGATACTCTGTCTCTAAATAAATAAATAAATAAATAGTCAATAAAAACATGTCATCTCTATATTGGGATAACCACACAAATAAAATTAAAGGCCTAGAAGGATTTTGAATTTGTGCTGGCACAATCTGTTAATTGTTTGCTTTCAGTACTACTGAGATGTGTTGGATAATGCTCAAAATATGCCAGTTTAAGAAGTGGAAAAGAAGGTTAAAGGAATTTCTATTAACACTCTTAAAGCATTATGAGAAGACATTTACAGGAATGGAAACCACAACCTGGCTGCATCTGTTTGGTATTTGTTTGCTGAAGTAACTTACAAAGATGATTTTAAAGAAGAGATTGATAAAATAAAATGTTGAAATTTTTCTAGGCTCCAATTCTGGAAAAGCAGATTGACGTTGAAATTCTTGTAATAAAGTATACATCCTACTGTAGTGAAATAATAGCCACCTTTGAGTTTACTTATCATTATTTACTGTCTAGCTACTGCAAACACAGTTTATTCAGCTTTGCATTGCTAAAGCCTGGTGGTGTTACAAGTAAATGTGCATAAGCCATAACCAGTGCTTTTTCGTGTATCTAATTTTTTCAGGTACAAATAGCTTGAAACAGTTTCTTTTGTTTTAAGTTGATACCCAGCTACACTTTTAATTTTCACTCAATCCTCTACAACTCTATGCTTTATCTGGGGTTGTAATACATGAGGAATTATCTTGATTTATCTTTAGGTAACATCGCTGCCTTCAAAGTTGAGTGGGCACAGTTATAACAGGTCTTTGTGTAGGCAAAGGACAGAATATTAAGACTGATCCATCATCATCATCATCATGGCTAACATTTTTTGAGATGCCATGCGTACTCGTTTAATTTTCATAGTAATCTTGTGAGGCATGTGTAGTTTCACGATTCTTTATTTAAACCCTCAGGGTCAGATGTGCTTCAGAATTCAGAACTTTTTGGAGTTTAGAAAGGTAATCAGTGCGTGTGCCATATATTATACAAAATCTCTAGGCTGGTTCTGGGAAAGCACCTTATATGCAAGCATATTGGTATTTCTACAGGGAAATATATGAATAGTAACGCTGAGTAGAATAAAAGGCATAAGTACTCTCATGTTAATTCAATCAGGTCTTGTCCCCAAATGCATTTGGGCATTATCTTATGAATTTTTTTTTTTCCTGAGCTTTTTGGTATTTTGGAATTGAGGTTAAGGAAATACAGACCTGTACAGTTGTAATCCCCCCTTTTCTTTTTATTTTTTTTGAGACAGAGTTTCGCTCTTGTTGCCTAGGACGGAGTGCAATGGTGTGATCTGGGCTCATCGCAACCTCTGCCTCCCAGGTTCAAGCGATTCTCCTGTCTCAGCCTCCTGACTAGCTGGGATTATAGGCATGTGCCACCATGCCTGGCTAATTTTGTATTTTTAGTGGAGACAGGGTTTCTCCATGTTGTTCAGGCTGGTCTCAAACTTCCAGCCTCAGGTGATCCACCTGCCTTGGCCTCCCAAAGTGCTGGGATGTAATCCCTTTTTATAGATACGGGGAAACAGAGACCCAGAGAGGTCAAGTAACTTGCCCAGTGCTACACAGTGTGTGGCAGAGCTGGGCTGTGACTATACAGCTATTTGACAGAATAGGCTAGATCTGCATATACTAAAGTGGTGATATGTCTATGATAACTTATTAAATTAAAGCTGTAAAGAATAACATATAATATGGTTCCATTTTTAGAAAAAATCTATTATTCTCTATAAACATTATAGGGAAAGATTTAGAAGTATATTCTTTAGACTCTTGACAGAATTTACCTCTGATGGTTGGGAACTGGCAGAGTCAGGAGATACTTAAAGGTTTTTAGAATTTTATATCATACACATGCTATTTGTATTTTTAAAATGATAAATGTATAAAGGAAAAGTGGGAGAAAAAGTTAACAGATGTTTACTCTTGTTTCAGATAGAAGGAAGCTTGGTGCTCTCCCTTCCTTCCATTATTGGAGAAACCCCTACTTTTTATGGTCCCCCATGTAGTATACTGGCTACTTAGGCAGTAATTACATGTCTGCTTTCTGTAGATAATTTTCTCAAAGCTATGTAAGAAGAATACTTTATGCAGAATGAATGGAGTTTAACAAGGTGAAATATCATAAGTGAAAATGAAGTCCAAACTGTGCTTGGATTGAGGCATTGTGTCTTAGCTGACAGGTGTTCAGTTAGCACTGTGCTAAATGAATGACAATGTGGAATGGCCACTACCAGTGTGAATGTGAGCTCTAGCTGTATAGCATGAGTGGAATATTGAGAATGTGAGTCAGTCTAATCTCATCATATCAGGAGTCTTGTGTTCAGTTGTGGATGGTATATATAAAGGGATGCAGTCAATGTGAAATTTTTTCCAGATAGATTGATCAAGAGGATTTAAGGACTTGAAACCATGTCATATAGGGCACGGGTGAAATAATTGAGCAAGTATAGTTTAGTGTTTTGCCAGCTTCTAGCAATGCTTGACTGTTGTACTTGCTCAAATGAGTAATGTTAGCTTAATATTGATTGACTGCCAGCTCTATGCCACATCCTGAGCTATCAAGCATTTGGGATACAAAGATGAAGAGATGTGGACTCTGCCTTTTATGTCTCTGAGTCTAGTAGAGAACACAGAAATGTACACAACTGTTTCCCATACAGCATGATAAATTTAACAGTAAACCCTAGTACAGGAGCAGCACAGATAAATTAAGATTAACTCTTCCTGCAGTAGTGGGAGATGGGGGATAAAGTCTTCAGAGACAAATGGAATTCTGAGCTGGGTTTTGAAAAATAAATTTGTTACAGTGAATGAAATGAGAAGATTGACAAAGGATGGTATAACCTTGTTCAAATATTTGAAAAGATGTCATGTATAAGAAAGACAGAAATTTTTCAGTACAACCTCAGGGGCTCAGAAACCAGTTGGGGTAGAGTACAGGGAGAAAGATTTAGGCTTAATTTTAAAAGTTTTTAACAGAGCTGTCCAAAGGCTTTTTTGGAATGCTCAGAGTTACCAGTCCCTGGATGTGTTGATGCAAAGGCAAGTCAACTGTTTGTCAGTGATAGTAGGGAAGGGGGGGAGTGGAGTCACCCGATGAATAGAGTGACAGTGAAGTGTTTAAAGGCATGGTTTCTAGGATCAGACTTCTTGAGCTGGCACTTCTCCATACTGACTCTGTGACCTTATCTAGGACTGTTAAGATAACTAACAAAAAAATTGCTCAGAACAGCACCTGGTACACAGTAACTGCTAAATAAGTCACTAAGCTATTGCCATTGGATGGGTGGTTAGTTGAGTACTCTTTAAAGTTCCTCCTACCTCGAAAGACTTTGAGTTTCTAATTGTGTAATTGGGTGACAATAGTCATATGAATATATGACAATATTCTTATGAATTAAGAAGATAGTAATGAGCAGACTGAAGCAAAAAATAAAATTGTGATAGTTAACAATTCAGCAGCAAAGATATGAATAAAACTCTGGTCTCTTGAACTAGAGGTCACTGCTCTAGTAACTATCTTGATCTTTGTTTTGGAGCCTTGGAATTTTTCAACCTACCCATCCAGAATATTTTCAAAGGGGCTGGTATTGCCTGATTCTCTCTAGCTGGTATTTTTCTGTCTTGCAGATACTGTGGCCTCATGAATAGGAATGTCTGCCCATATGTCAGGATTGGAAATAATGGATGAAGATCAATTAATCAAAGACGTCTTGGATAAATTCCTTAATTGTCATGAGCAAACATATGATGAAGAATTTCTGAACACTTTTACTCATCTTTCACAAGGTAAAATGGAGAAGTAAACTTTCTGCAGCAATGGAGATAAATAATTTTATTATAAGTGTATGTTTTTGCTGCCTCTTGAGAAAGACTATTTAGTGAACATTCATTCCATTCGTTTATCAGGTAATTCTTACTAGGGCACTCGTGACTGATGCCCTAATGTTACTGATGATATAAATACCAGTCTTCATACATCCAAGAGTTGTGTGATGGTGTCAGAACCACAGAATTTGATAACTAAAAATGACTTGAGAAATCATTTAATATAATCCTTTTATTTTTTAAGAAAGCCAAATGCAAAGAGTGGAGGTTGTTAAAAGCCTACTTTAAAAAATTTCAAAGAGAAATAGTATAGTATAGACTATGGGATTACACTGCACACTTCTGGATCCTGGGATCACCACTTACTGGCCATGTGATCAGGGGCAGGGGTAGTTTTTGAGTAAAAGAGGAATAATAATAGTACTTCTCTCAAAGGTTGAGAAACGTTAATTGAGATAATCCATGTGAAACTCTTAGTGTAGTGACTAATACATAATAAGTACTTACTGAATGTTAGGTATTTGTATTGCTGTTGTGATGCTGCTGCTGCTGCTGCTGCTGTTGTGGTTTCTGTAGAATGGAAACAACCCTTTAGACTGGATGTGATGAGGCCAAACCCATGTTGTGTTTTTCATTATTTGTTTTGTTTCCCTCATCCAGTGTTATTGCTTATTAATTGAGCCAACGTTTGAAAGTTGGGTAATTTTACACGAAAATCTTGATTTGTGTTTTTTTTGGGGGGATCCAGTGAGAAGATCTGTTACTTCCTCATGGCAATATCAACTAGAGCTCAGGAGCCCTTGCCCAGTGAGCTCCTTAGTTTGTCACGCTCTCTGGCACTCACACAGTCTAAAAATGTGAGCTTACATTGTCTACTTCATTCATTCAAGTGGCCCCCTAGGCATTTGAGTTGTTATCTTCCTTCTGGGTTCTGCTTCAGATTGCCATCAGCTTGCTCTCAACCTTGATCCTTTCTGGGTCATTGATCCACATTTTTGAGACCATTGGTTCTCTACCTAGCTACACATTAGACTCACCTGACTCGCTTTTAGAATGTATTGACATCAGAGCCCACTCTAAAGCTCAGCTAGGATCAAGGGATTCGTATTTTATTAAAAAAACCTCCTCTGGTGCTTCTAATATGTACTCAAGGGTGAGAACAGGGAGTTCCATAATCTCTGAGGTCATGACACTCTTAAGATACCTGACTTCATGATTTGAGTAATGTGTCCCAAAGAAATGTAAAACAAGAGTAGTAGTTATAAGGAAATTATAGTTATAATGTATAAATGTAAAAGAAAAGTAGTAGTTATAACGAAAAGAAAATATGATTCTAACCTGTTTCTTTTATCAGGCAAGATATAATATAATTGATATCTGTTTTGTTTACACTTAAACAAAAAACATAGATGTGGTGATTTTTGTTTATACTTAATGGAAATGAAAAATTTAGGAACTAGCTAGTTAACTTTGACGCTGACTGTGAATGATCTGTTTGGACATAACATGTAGATCAAATTAATCTTGATAATGACCAAATTATCTTTTAGTCTGTGCACCTGGGTTTAGGAAGATACCTGCTTTGTTCGAGACTAATGATTTAGTTTGTGTTTTCTGGACCCAAACAGCAATATGAATGGCTGTGGTGGGGTGGTGGAAATAAGGGTAAAATTGGCAGAATTAATGAATTTTGGTATGCTAATGACATTTTGATAATTCACATTATTTTGGAAATCATCTGTAAGGCTGACTTTATTTTTGTACCCTAGAAGAATAAAAACTTTTTGCAAGGACTTTGATATATTTAGGGGGTTATAATACATTTACTTTTATGAAAAGGGGTCTTATTCTGTTTTCGAATTCCAGTATGATCATTGCATGCTGAGAAAGAAACTGTTGCAGATGTGATAACTTCATTTTGGGTTCAGTTTTGGACCCCAAATTGATCTGAAATAAATGATGATGCAAGTCACATAAACTGCATCTCCAAGCACACTAGTTGTTTTTTTTTTTCTTTCAAAATATCCCTAGGCACCAGTGCACATTATAAACTAATGACCTGAAAAAATTCCTCTTAAAGCACAGAGTTATGAGTGTAAAAATGTGTCTTAAATCAGTAAGTGTCCTTTTTTCCCTTTAAACATTTAAATACCTTCTGAGAAACCAGGACTTAGGGACAGGTCTGAGAGTTGAGTAATAGCCAGCAGAATTGATCAAGGTAAATGTGGTTAGTTCTGTTTAAGAAAGGCATTAAAGCTGTATTTCCAAAATTCCTATTTTCCCTGCTTCTTTCCAGGCCCTTCATTTGTCTCAATGTGTTTAGTTGTTTTGTTGATACACACTGAGCCTTTTCTCTGTTAAAGTAGTTATCACCATGCATACTTATGTACGTTTCTTTAGTAAGTTTAGTTTCTCAAGTCCATTACCATTTCCACTGATTGACTGTTCTATTTATTTTTATAATAGTTATACACCAGAATGCTTATGGGATTCATTTTCTTTCTAAGAGTGTTAAAAGGGTCAGTAATCCTATTAAAAATATTTCTCTGGAAAAAATTAAATTATAGCCTTGTTGAAAGAAATTCTCATTACTGCCTCAGACTCTTGGAAAACATTTGGAAACTGTTAATATTATAGCATAATTCTCACTACAGTACATTTATGTTGATTACGTTTTGTGGTTTTTTCTTTTTTAGAGCAACTAGGTTTTTAAACCGTGGTACATGTTTGATAGTAAAGACAATGTTCTATCAAAATGTTTAAAGAGACATATTAATTATTAGTTTTAAACGGCCAATTATAAGTGAATTCTCAATAGCACCTTCAGTTCAGGAGGGTAAATCAAATTCTAAGATATGTATTAGAAAATTAGCATGCAGATTTTTAAAATAATTGGTAAAGACATTGTTATGTTGTTGACATTGTGGACAAAGATAAGCAGCTAAGTTTCAATCTTTTGTGTCTCAGTTTCTCTGTGAATGTAACTAATTTATAGGACTTTCTAGAATATCTGTTTAAAAGGAAAAAAAGGCTTCTTTCTTCTTGCCTGTCATATTGCTATCATGTTTTCTAGGTTATAGAAACACTGATGTGAATACTTATATTTGATTTTTTATTTAATTAATTCATTAATTAATTCTGTGAGTGTCTTGTTATGGTCCAGATATCATTTTAGGTGCTGAAGATTAAAAAGTAAATAAAATATAGTTTGTGTTCTCAAGCACTCATAATCCAGTGGTAGAGATAAATAAGCAAGCAGGAAATTAGACTAATGCATGATAAGTATCACAGTGGAGACTGAGAGCTTATAGGAGGGCCACCCAGCCTGTGTTTGGAGGGACGGCAATAAAGTCTAGTCATCAGAGGGGCTGCTTGAGATGAGTCTAGGATAACTACTGAACCCAAACTTGCCTTGGGCTTCAAGACATTAAGTAGAACCAGGAAAGTTTGACAGAAAAGAGCTGAAACTGAAAGATGTTAAAATGCCTCCATTGGTGATGGTTCTTTGGGTCACGGTTGCATTGATTTTAGTACTGATATATCTCTATCTCCTTTAAACACTACGTCTTCAAGACGAATATGTAGCCTTGTTTTAGTAAAGTTTAGAGTTACTTCTTTTTTTGTTGTTGTTGAGTTTTCTTTTTTTTTTTTAATTATACTTTAAGTTTTAGGGTACATGTGCACATTGTGCAGGTTAGTTACATAGGTATACATGTGCCATGCTGGTGCACTGCACCCACTAACTCCTCATCTAGCATTAGGTATATCTCCCAGTGCTATCCCTCCACCCTCCCCCAACCCCACCACAGTCCCCAGAGTGTGATATTCCCCTTCCTGTGTCCATGTGATCTCATTGTTCAATTCCCACCTATGATTGAGAATATGCGGTGTTTGGTTTTTTGTTCTTGCGATAGTTTACTGAGAATGATGATTTCCAATTTCATCCATGTCCCTACAAAGGACATGAACTCATCATTTTTTATGGCTGCATAGTATTCCATGGTGTATATGTGCCACATTTTCTTAATCCAGTCTATCATTGTTGGACATTTGGGTTGGTTCCAACTCTTTGCTATTGTGAATAATGCCACAATAAACATACGTGTGCATGTGTCTTTATAGCAGCATGATTTATAGTCCTTTGGGTATATACCCAGTAATGGGATGGCTGGGTTAAATGGTATTTCTAGTTCTAGATCCCTGAGGAATCGCCACACTGACTTCCACAATGGTTGAACTAGTTTACAGTCCCACCAACAGTGTAAAAGTGTTCCTATTTCTCCACATCCTCTCCAGCGCCTGTTGTTTCCTGACTTTTTAATGATTGCCATTCTAACTGGTGTGAGATGGTATCTCCTTGTGGTTTTGATTTACATTTCTCTGATGGCCAGTGATGGTGAGCATTTTTTCATGTGTTTTTTGGCTGCATAAATGTCTTCTTTTGAGAAGTGTCTGTTCATGTCCTTCGCCCACTTTTTGATGGGGTTGTTTGTTTTTTCCTTGTAAATTTGTTTGAGTTCATTGTAGATTCTGGATATTAGCCCTTTGTCAGATGAGTAGATTGCAAAAATGTTCTCCCATTTTGTAGGTTGCCTGTTCACTCTGATGGTAGTTTCTTTAGCTGTGCAGAAGCTCTTTAGTTTAATTAGATCCCATTTGTCAATTTTGTCTTTTGTTGCCATTGCTTTTGGTGTTTCAGACATGAAGTCCTTGCCCATGCCTATGTCCTGAATGGTAATGCCTAGGTTTTCTTCTAGGGTTTTTATGGTTTTAGGTCTAACGTTTAAGTCTTTAATCCATCTTGAATTGATTTTTGTATAAGGTGTAAGGAAGGGATCCAGTTTCAGCTTTCTACATATGGCTAGCCAGTTTTCCCAGCACCATTTATTAAATAGGGAATCCTTTCCCCATTGCTTGTTTTTCTCAGGTTTGTCAAAGATCAGATAGTTGTAGATATGCAGCGTTATTTCTGAGGGCTCTGTTCTGTTCCATTGATCTATATCTCTGTTTTGGTACCAGTACCATGCTGTTTTGGTTACTGTAGCCTTGTAGTATAGTTTGAAGTCAGGTAGTGTGATGCCTCCAGCTTTGTTCTTTTGGCTTAGGATTGCCTTGGCGATGCGGGCTCTTTTTTGGTTCCATATGAACTTTAAAGTAGTTTTTTCCAATTCTGTGAAGAAAGTCATTGGTAGCTTGATGGGGATGGCATTGAATCTGTAAATTACCTTGGGCAGTATGGCCATTTTCACGATATTGATTCTTCCTACCCATGAGCATGGAATGTTCTTCCATTTGTTTGTATGCTCTTTTATTTCCTTGAGCAGTGGTTTGTAGTTCTCCTTGAAGAGGTCCTTCACATCCCTTGTAAGTTGGATTCCTAGGTATTTTATTCTCTTTGAAGCAATTGTGAATGGGAGTTCACTCATGATTTGGCTCTCTGTCTGTTGTTGGTGTATAAGAATGCTTGTGATTTTTGTACATTGATTTTGTATCCTGAGACTTTGCTGAAGTTGCTTATCAGCTTAAGGAGATTTTGGGCTGAGACAATGGGGTTTTCTAGATATACAATCATGTCGTCTGCAAAGAGGGACAATTTGACTTCCTTTTTTCCTAATAGAGTTACTTCTAAACTGCTGAAAGAAAAAGGCAATTTCTTTTAATTGCCTTCCACACCAGGATTACCACATGATCCCATTTGGGAAGCATTTGCTCCTACCTTTTAGAGTGGTAATTACTGCTCATGTTGCTGTCACACAGAGATTGTATAATTAAGAAGCCAATGACTTAGAAATTGACATTAAATCTTTTCAACTCCATTTTATGACATACGGTAACTGTCGGGAGTTACAGTAGTTATTTCCAAATCTCTCTTTCTCTCTCTCACATGCCTAGGATCCAGCTTTCCAAGTGATTCTAGAGTTTTTATATTGCCACATAATAACAGCTTTCTATTCACTGCCATAGTTGTCTACTTTAACCTGTTTTCTTCTGTGTAGATCAAAGATTTTATTTCAGATTTTGATATGTAATTTCATTCTTAGTTTTCTTTATGCTATTCTCATTTCACTTGCAATGCTTTGTGCTTTTAGCATTTTATTGTTCTTTTAACATATCTTTGAAAAAAATTCCTGTCAACTCAACCTCCCTTTTTCTCTTCATACTTGTTAATATTTGAATTGACTTTCCTATTAGGTAGAACATTGTGTGTCTGAATGTTCAGGACAAATGGCTATGCCTGTGGCTTTATAAATTGCTGGAGGACTGGCCTTTGATAGTTCCAAACTCTCGGAGTTTCAACACCGTTGAATAGGTTTCAGTTTTTCTCAGATTTTAATAATATTGTATAATCATGAGATTAATCTATATATACTTAATTCACATTGAGTTATTTAAGGAGCGATGCCAGTGCTTTTCCAGCATTACAAATTTCATGAATGGTGTAGTAACCGTATGATTTGTGATCATACAGGCCTGCACTGTCCAACACAGTAGCTACTAGCAACATGTAGCTATTGAGTATTGGAAACATGGCCAGTGCTACCCAGGAACAGAGTTTTAAATTTTAATTACTTTAAATTAATTTAAATTTAAATAAAAAAACTGATATTCAATTCATTTATTAGAAAACTTTAAAAGGTGTTTGGGACAACTTGGGTAGGTGAATCCGTTTCTTTAAAATGTAAACTTTATGAAATCTAAATACAGATCAAGTATTTCTGATGAAAATTTACTATCTGAATTGAGACATGCCATAAGCATAAAACATACACTGGATTTTGGAGACTTGTATAAAAATAGAATGTAAAATATCTCAATATTTTTATATTGACTATATTTGAAATGATAATATTTTAGAAAATTGATTTAAATAAAATATATCATTAAAAATGATATTACTTTTTATTTGTATATTTATTTGTATATATATTTATTTATTTGTATATTTATTTTTTTGTATATTTATTTATTTGTATATTTATTTTTAACATGTCTACTTGAAAACTTAAAACCACATATGTAAGCAGCTCTACTATTGACAAGTAGTTCTCAAACTTGGCTGAATATCAGGAGACTTTTGTGATGGCAGACTTTTATGAAAGTATAGATTTCCAGGCTTTTGGCTTATTAAATGAAACTATAAACTTTTATATAAACTTTATATATAAACTTTTGGCTTATTAAATGAAACTATAGCAAGGGGTCTAAAATTTTTATATTCTCAAGGCTCTGTAGGTGATTCTGATGTACCACTAGTTTTGAGAACCACTGATTTAGGCTACAGATTCTCATAAGGCAGTCTGTTAAAAAGCAGGACTGTCTGTACTGCTTTAAAATACCAGATAATTGCTTAAAGTGTGTTTCTGTTTCAATTGTAGAGTTGGCAGAGACTGTCTAGTGCTCTTTATTTTAGATTCATTTATGGATATATTGCTAAGTATTTGTCTCGAGTAACTTATTTAATTGCCACCATGATGCAAAGAATTAGCTATTATTCTTCCTTTTTATAGCTCAGGGAACTGAAAGTCATTGTAGATTAAATAATTTGCCTGAGGTCAGATAGGATTCAAACTCCAGACATCTGACCCTCCTCTGTACAATTATACCTCTCTCAGAGAAACATCTGGGAGTGAGAGATTATTAAAAAACAAGTCTAATATTACTACTGATAGCAGCTAACATTTATTAAGTTCTAGGGATTAATGCTTAGCTCTTCACATGTATCATCTCGTTTAATCATTATAATGACCTAGTGAGTTCTTTCGTACATTTTAATTTTTATCATTTTATTATTTTTAACTTACAGATGAGGAAACCAAGGCATAAAGTTAGGTAGCTTGCTATTGTGGACTGAATTGTGTGCCTCCCAAATTTACATGTTGGAGCCCTAACCCCCAACGTGGACTGTATTTGGAGATAAGGCCTTTAAAGAGATAATTAGGGTTAAATGAGGTCATAAGGGTGGGCCCCAACCCAGTATGACTGGTGTCCTTATAAGAAGAGATGGAGTTAGACTATGGTCCTAATCAGATTTCAAAGCCCACACCCTGAACCACTTTGTTCTCTGCCTTCCGTAGGGCATCGGGCAGTTCTTCTCAAGACCTGGGGTCACTGGTGTGTAGATAATATATGCCAACAGGAATGGATGTGCTACCTCAAAATACACTTACCCTGTCTTCTCTAGAGTATCATCAGCTCCATACAGCTGGTGTCTTGTGGGTTTTCACCACTATTACACTAGTGTCTAAAGCAGTGCCTGGTGGGGCAGAATGTGTAGATGCTTAAATATTGGTTGAATAAATGCAGTGAAAAGAAAAGAAGAGAATACAGAATGACAGGCTGGCAGACAGGAGGGCCTTAGGTACAAGCCTGAGGAACACCCACATTTAGTGGATGGCACAGAAGGGAGAGCCTGAGAAGGAGGCTGTGTAATGATGCTCAAGTTTGGATTTTGATATACTATGTAATTGGGAACCATAGTAGAATTTTAAAACAAACAAACAAAACCCATTAATACACATTGCTCGTGATTTTGAAAGGTAGAGCAAAGAAGAAGTAGAGAAACATCTGGAGTCAGGGAGACTAGCTGAGGGCTAAGGAGAAGTACGTTGCTGGAGGTCTGGACTAGGGTAGTTGGGGAGAAAATGGAAAGCAAAAGGGCCTAGGAGACGCTGCCAGTGAAGGAATGACTGACAGCACTTAGTAACAGGGTACTGGCAGAGGATTAAGGAGAAGAAAGAGTCAAGGAAGAGTCACAGGTATTTTGCCTGGGAGATACTGAGGCCCACAGAGGCCAAGTGACTTCTTCAAAGTTACACAGTTCTCATTTCAGGAGTCTTTTAATTTTTTTTTTCTTTATTGAGCGTTCGTTCTGTCAAGAGCTTAGAATCTTGGGTTGGGATTTGGTTTACATTTCTGGACTGATAAATTTTGAGTTGTCATTTCAGCCAAAAGAATATCACTACTCATACTTGACAGCTTCTAAAAAATGTAATTAAAAATGAAACCGGTGACAGCACATAAAACAACACATTTCCGAAGTTGACGTATCATCTTGGTCCCCAAAGCTATTTTGAATTTGAATATTAGCAATGCATCTTTAAATTTCCATGAGGGTGCAAAGAGAGGCTTTTCCCAATCTGAAGAATGAATTTAAAATCTGCTGTAGAAAAATACCAGAGAGAAAAATATAGAAAGCAGCTGTCCCTCTTACCAATTTCAGAGCAGGAAAGGAATTTCAGTAGAGCATAAAAACAGCTTTCTCTCATAAAAGAAAACACAACAAGAAAAATAATCCTTGCTGTGTAGCCTTTTGCAGTTATTTTCTGTCATGTGTTAGATAGAGACCAGAGGGCTTAACATTGTTTTGATACCCTTGCATCTGGCAGATTGCCTGTCAGAGGAAGTTGGAAACGAACTGACCAGCTTTATGCTTCCAGGTGGCACTGAAGCCACATTTTCAGTGCCGTTGTTATCAGTCATTTAATTCCCTACTGAATATTGAGTGGTGTTTTTAGTTCACAGGCCATTTGCAGTGCCTTTCTGTTTCCTTTTTAACGTTAGCCACATTAAGAAAAAAAAGGCAACTCGGGAAGCGCTTTTGCAAATGTGAATTTAACAGTAAAGAGAAGATAATTGAAAATATCATGGCAAATAGCAATAAACTTACTTTAACTGAAGACATAGGCCATGGGGATAATGTTACCTTGAGAGAAATTTGCAGAAGACGTCATATAAGGACTTGCTAATAAAAGTAACTAGGCAATTAAAAAAATTAATTAATCTTGCATCCCAAGGGAGCGAGTAAGGAAGCGGTGTTATTTTAAAGCTTTTTATTGATGTGTTTTTTAGTATTGCCAAAAAGAATAAAAGTGTAAGAAAAAATGTTGATAGTTTTATATTGAACATAAATTCAGTAACTATGTGTATGTAATCTCTTTATCACAACATAACATCAAACATCACATAGAACACTGAAGGAAAAAAATATTGAATGAAGTGAACTAATTTATAGCAGAGTCCTGTGGAGGAAACAGCATCAGCAGCATTAACCTGTTTTTTCTCTTTGGGGGAACATCTGCAAGCTGTAATTAAGCAATTTTCATTTGTTTCCCTATTTCTTTTGTCATCACTAAATCACTACACTTAGGGAACAAATTGACAAATTATGAAACACACAAAAATTGCTGGTTCAATTGCAGAAGGAAATTTCCCCTTTCAAATTATGACAGATTTTGAGCTGATCAAGCCATTTTGTTTTAGATATATTAGCATAAACCTTCAGCTGAAGTTGTTATAATTCATATTCATTTCAACATGAATATTTGGTTCATAGATAATCATTTGTTTTTTGTGACTGCTGGAGTTTACATGTAATTGGATAAGGAAAGAAAATGTATTTAAATGTGCATGACATTTTGAATTATAATCATTAAATTTATTTTTGGCAGTGTTTTTAATGCACAGTATTTTGTTCCAATAATTACCTTTTCTAATATGCGTTCTCAGTGAAGACATGGGAATTAAAAATATGTATTTTTCATACACATAAAAGAATCATTTTCTTTGATTCTTTGAAAAGAATGAAATTGTTTGATTTACTTGAAAAGATACACATCTTTTCAATTTATTTATATTTGATATATTTTATGTATACATATAAATTAGAGAGTTGAACTTTTGTAGACAAATGGGATTTTAAACTTTTACAGAATGAAAGAGAACTACTAATAGTTAAATAAACTTTTAAGGTGGTCATTATCAATCTTTAAATAGCCAATTTAAACAATATTAAGTGGGTGCATATTTGTTTTATATGCATTTCTCTTTAACTTGAGACATTATTTTTATTCGTTGTTGCTAAGTGTATCATTACTTGAAGGGAAAGGGTAAATTGTTCCACTCAAAACTGAGGTGGTCATAAGACAGTGTCCTTTGATTCAATTGAATGGGCATGTTTCAGATCTGAATGGTTTTAGCAAAATGTTCTTTTAGCCGTGAAACAATAATATTTTCTTTGAAATGGTCAGCTAAACCCAAAGGGATACAAACAGGAAACTTTATTTTAACCAAACTCTTATATGAAAATCAAACCACAATCTGTCTAGTATATGATTTTTAGTGTCTTTTTTTTCCTTAATTTGGATTCGTTCCAGAGGAGGTACATTTAAGTGACGCCCATCAGCTTACTCTTCTTGCAGTTCATTGCATCCTTAGCACAGAGAGGAATCATTATATCATTTTCATGTGTTTTCCAGACTTAATTTGCCTTTTGCATTCAATTTTGTTGTATATGAACTACTGTTTAGAAGATTGGGGTTGTAGGGAGTCATCTGAGTGTTGAGTTTAGTCCCTAATTATAGTGTCAATCCAGGTCTTCTTGCTAATGTTGAGGTCATTTCAGTATTGATGATTCCTTCTGTGTTTTAAGCATTGAGCTAGAATCTGGGAATACTCAGATGAACAAAACAGGGTCCCTACCCTAGAAGAATTCATCAGCTGATATGTCATTCCTATTGCAATCTGCTTATAAAGGATGGTGTGATTCCCAAATGCTCTAAATGTGTGAAGGCAGAATAGCAATCTATATGTTTATAGATTGTATAGTTAGAGGTTGATTTGGCAAGGCAATATTAACTATTTGCATAGTATTGATGAACATCATATCCAGAATATTGCCATTGGTTTTGGGGTCTCAGTTTTAGATTGAATAAACAGCCTATGAGTTAATAAAATAACAATAAGAATGATTAGAACAGTGGATTTTCAGACTTTTTCCTTCTTATTTTACTTTAAGCTCTTGTTCTATTTTTTATTTTTTTTTTTGTGAAGGCTCTCCTGGAGTTTCCTGATAAAATGAGAGAATGTGAAAGACATATATAATTTAAGTCTCCTCTTGAACTGCTCTAATCCAACATGCCAATGTTTGAGTCCTATATTCTTACAAATGTGTTCAGCAGATGTTATTCTACTTTAGAAAGTTTGAAAACTTCTTCTAAGAAGTATTTACTTTTTAAAAAAGAGGGAAAAATTACTCCTCCTAACTTTCTCCAGTGTAGGTGAGTTAAAGAGGTTGCCTTAAGTAAATGCAACTTTTTGTGGTAGGCAATAGGACATGATCTTACGGTGAAGGAAAATCTTTTAGGTTGCAGATATTTAGTTTTATAAATAATTTACTATGTTGCTTTTATAGTTCTCATTTTGTTACGGGCAGGGCCAGTGTAATGGGAAGGGACACTTCAATCCTTGGATTCAGAAGACCTGGGTACTAGTCCAGGCATATACTAATTTCTTAAGACCACAGGCCTGTCACTTACTCTCTGAATCTGTAAATCAGGGCTAATTCTGCCTGTTTGGTATGTCTCAAATGGTTGTGGTGAGAATCAGATGAAATACACATGAAAGTATTTGGTAAATTTTAAAGACTTACTCATGTGTAAAGTTTTATGATTGGGGTTCTATTTCTCTGATACGAAAGAGAAAAACATCAAGGTTAAATATGAAAGGAATCTTGAATGTAAATATAAAAAATGTAAAATATTGTCTACAGTGTTAGTTGTTTATACCCCATTTCTTGAAGTAGTTAAAACCAACTATGTATAGTACATATTGTATTGTGTACATGTACGTGGTATATTGTATGGTGTAAGAGTACAATTCAGGGAATGATCCTACACTGGCCTCTGGTGGATGGATGCAATACTATGTCTCCACACAATCATCAGGCAAATGTATTTACATGCTTTGACCAAAGATGAAGTATCAGATTCTTCTTTTTAATTATCATTGTTAGATTTTACTTCATGGAATCTTTACTTGGGAATTTTACCTTATGTACAAATCACCTGGAAGGTACTTATTAAAAAGTAGATTCCTAGGGATCTTGCCCCAAGATTCAGTAGTTCTACTAGTGTGCAGATCAGAAACTTTGACTTTCAGACCAGCTTTGAGAAAATACTCTAAATGAAATCTGGGAGGAGTTTAGGGAGATAAATGAATTTTTCAACACTTTTTGTCCATTTTTGTATATATTATATTTTTTTATGAATAAGGTCTGTAGCTTTCATGAAATTGTGATACTCCCCCCCCCACTCAAAGCATAAGAACAATTATTTTACTTTAAATATGACATTTTTGTTGAATGTCACCATTGTATATTATTTAAAAGGCATTTTGACAGTGAAAAAGGATGATGGGTTATAGGAATAATTTTACTGTGATCTTGCTGATCGCTAATACAGAGGCTAGGATATTATAGCTTACAGAATTTTAGGGTGGGCTTTAGTTTGGCACATGTTCTGTCCCAAGTCTGAAGGATTGTAGTGCATGTGTCATAGGTCAAAGCTACTCCATCACAGGGAAATGTCCTTGCTACTTCTGTCTATTGCTGCCAGAACTGTGTTCTCTGTGAGTGTTTTGCCATTAGCAAGTACACAGACAAGAGACTAGGGAGACCACACAGGCTGTGGAGGCATCTCATTGCCTGTACTTTCAGGAAATGCCCCTCCAATCATTTCGCTGTTTCTGGTAACTTTTCTGTTGTATATTTCGTACACGAAGGTACTTGGTAGTTTTAAAGACTTACGCAAGAGTAGAATTTTATGATTAGGGTAATTATTTGTGATTTAAAAGAGGGACATCAAAGTTAAATATTAAGAGAATCTTGACCTACAATAGAAAAAAATGTAAAATTATATATATGTGTGTATATATATGTGTGTATATATATATTTTTTTCCTCCTTCTTCATTATTTCCAGGAAAACCACTTTAAAAAGGAAGAAGATGCATGTAGGTATTCTCCCTAGATTGAGGATTAGAAACTTCGTTGGAAGAAATGCTTTTTTGCCTCTTCAAATAAAAGTATAGTTTTTAGTTTTTTTGTTCATAGTACAAAAATTAGAAAATACTCAGAGGTACCAGCACCCACACACCCATGCACACACTCACACCCACACACCCACAGTAAAACAATAACATACTCTTTCTATAGCAGTAGAATTTTTATCTACTCTATGGCCAGCCAAAATAAAGATTACATCCTAGTCTTCCTTGAAGCTGGGTATAGTCATTTGACTAAGTTTGTGTCAATGAGATGTGAGGGGCACTGGTATGTGCAACTTCTGGGTCATATCCTTAAGACACGTGCACTATTTCTTTTTATCCTTTTCCTCCTGGCTGGAAATTGGGAATCATTACAACAACTCCTTTAGACCCAGACATGGAGGCCATGTGCTTACGATGACAGAAAACTCCAGCAGCCTGAATCCCTGGGTCATTTCATGGAACAAAGCCTACCCACCTTTCCTAAACTGTTACATGAGAGAGAAATCAAATTCTTGTTTGAGCTGCTCCATTTTTTGTGCTTCCTTGATATGGTAGCTGAAATCAGCCTTAGCTAATTACAGAGAAGTGAGGTGTGTGCTTTCTTTTTCCTTTTCTTCATCCTATTGCTTGGAACAAGGGTGTGGGGGGGTGTCATCCTGGACCATGTGGAGAAGGTTGGTGCTGTAGTCATGGCAGAGCAGAAAGATAGAAGCCTGGGTCAGATGACTTTGTGGAGCAAGGTCATATTATCCTTGGATTATCTATATCTCTTACTGTTGCATGAGCGAGAAATAAACTTCCACTTTGTTTAAGCTGTTGTTACTTTAGGTGTCTTTTTATGTAGGCAAACTTATATGCAGTTAACTAATAAAGTCAGAGTCTATTGTCCTATAGATAAACCATGGTTGTATACATCCTTTCTGAAATTTTTTATGTTTATTAATATGTATATATGTATTCAGTTATTAGTTAAGAACATGGAAGTTGGAGACAACCAAGATTTGAATCTAAACTCTGTTACTTTCTAACTAGGTGGTCTTGGGAAACTTACTTAACATTTCTGAGCTTCAGTTTTATCATGTGTAAAATAGATATAATAACTTCTACTTCATTAAGTTGTTATTAGGATTAAATAAAAAATATATAAAATGCACATAAATATGTTTATTTATATTTATATTACCTGAATTATTTTAAAGGCTCAACCTAATATTTTCATTCATTTATATATTCAGCAAATTTATTATAATTATTTTATGAAAGTGGGCTTATGCTACACATAGTTTCTGTAACTTGCTTTTTTCCCCTCACCACTCTACAGATAAGAAGTAACTTGCTTTTTCATGTAACATTATATTATGAACACCTCATAGCAATAAATATCATTTACCAGTGTTTTGATGACTTCCTGGTATTCACTTGTATGGATATTTGTTTAGCCATTCTCTTTTTGTGGGACATTTGAATTATTTCTAATTTTTGGCTATTACAAATGATGCTACATTGCACGCCCTCATTCATTTGGTAAATGTTTGTTGAATATCTACTATGTGCTAAATGTTACTCACAGAAGTGAACAAAAGACACAAAGATCATTGCCTTCAGAGAAATTGTATTCTAGAAGGGGGAAACTGAAATTTGTATTCTAGAAAGGGGGAAAACAACCAGAGCACAGTATAGGGAATCATGAGTGCTGGCAGGAGGATTTAGGGTTGCAATTTTATATAGTATGATCTGGGAAGGTAAAATTTGAATAAAGTTGGAATGAGGTGAGTCTGCAGATATTTGAGGCCCAGGGAACAGCGAGTGCAAAGGCCAGGTCATAGCAGCACCTGCCCAGCTGAGGACCAGCAAGGAGGCCGGTGTGGCTGGAGTTGCATGAGCAACGGTGAAAGGAGTGTGGAAGCTGAGGTTAGAGGGCATGGAGGTAGGGAAAGATCGGGCATGGATAGCTTTGTAGGTCCTTGCAAGGGTTCTGGCCTTTGTTTATTTGTTGATTGATTTTAGTACTAGCGTCTTTGCACCCTTCTTACTTATGGCCTTTGGATACATTTCCACCCATGGAAATGCTGGTTCAAAAATCTGCAAAAATATATGTCCTCGATTAAATAAAAATGTTCAAGGGAATAGATCAGACATTTTTGGCTTTGCAGTGAAATCCTCACCCACGTACTTAATCATTTCTTTCGGATACATTCTTAAACATGGAAATGTGAGCTGAAAGATATGTAAAGTGTTATGTCTTTGAGTGAGTAAAAATTTTAAGGGACTAGATTATATGTTTCTTATAAGCAGAGGCCATGTCATATAATTTTCTTAACTCTTTTTCCAGCCTGGCAGAGTGTTAAGCACATAGTGGACTCTCAGTGTAGAACTTCCTGGTTGAAGGGCTGAATATAAATCTACATTTCAATCTTAATTGTTACCCATCTTTTAGAGTGGAGAATGAACATTTTACTTTACAGGAACTGTGAGTAAGTTCCTGACAGTGAGATCCCTGCTCTCCTTAGGGATACATTTTTGTGGGAATAGACAAGCAATGAACAATTTAGGAAGGTAATTTCAGATTATTTCATATAAATTTGAAGAAAACAGGCCATGTGATAGAGAGTGACCTGATCCTAGGACTCTGATGGTATGGTGGAGATAAGGTGATTAGAGAATTATAGCCTCAATGAGCATCAGCATTTCTACCATTGGGTGTGGAGGGAAGTTAAACTGCATAGTTACCCTGTGGTTTTATTTCATCATGTGGGGCAGCATGGAATTGGATTAGTAATGACAGTCCTTAGGTCAAACTCAGTATCATAATTAAGGGGGTACAGAATGTGGAAACACTCCAAATGTTTATCAACTGGTGAATGGAAAAATAAAATGTGGTACTATTCATACAACGGACTATTATTTGACAATAAGAAGGGAAGTGCATACTCCAACAGACAAACTTCAATAAGGTTATGCTAAGAGAAAGAAGTCAGGCTCAAAAGACCACATATCATATGATTCCACTGGTATGGAATATCTAGAAGAGATAAATACATAGCAACAAAAAATAGATTAATGGTTGCCTGTGGTTGGGAGTAGGAACAGGGAGTGACTGCAGATGGGCTCCAGGCACCTTTTTGGGGTGATGGAATGACCTAAAAATGGAATCGTGGTGATGGTGGTACAACTTTGTATACTTCCTAAAAATCATTGAATTGTACACTTAAAATGAGTGAGCTTTGTGGTGTGTAAATTACACCTCAGTAAAGCTGTGGGGAAGTGGAGGTATTGTTCATGGATACTTAGATACTTAGATCCTCCCTGGGTTCTTCACCAGATAAGCATGTGTCCTTGTGATCCTGGGTTTGGCTCAAGAACTAGGAGGATCCTGCTTGTCTGTAAATATTACCTATTAAGAAAATAAATCAGTTGTGCATAGACTTGTAAGTTTAACGTAGAAAAGGGCTGTGGTGCAAAAAAGAAACAAACTTGGATGTAACAGATTCTACCTTGTGTTGATATTGTCACCAGCAGCTGTTGCTCTGTTAGGAATTCTGGAGCCGTAGGAGGCTATGCTCAAATATGCTGCATCTGTTCCCAGTGTGGGCCACCTCTTTTGTGGTCTTGACTAAGTTAGTTGGGAAGGTAAGCTCATTTTATGGGATGGGTATGTGTGGCCTCTTGGCACCAAACTGTTTTCTACTTGACAGGTTGTTATCATGCTGTATTTGCACCCACCATCACAGAGATTGTTTAAAAAAAAAGTTATCTAGGGCATGCCAAATTATATGTAAAAGTATAGTACAGATTGCAGTGGAAAGATAACGTGATGATTCTGTGATATCTGGAGAGGAAACATAACCAGTTGGAGATAGTGCCTTCATTTTTGTTTTAAAAACAAAAGAGAACTCACTTGCGAACTCTTTTTTTTTTTTTCTAAATTTCTTCAGGCCACCATAGCTGAAGCTCCCTTTACTTCTCACCTGGGTTACTATGGTAGCTCCACACTTTCTTGTCTCTAGTACCTGAACCACTTTGATCCATTCTATCCATTTGTCTTCTTAGAGCACAGCTCTAATTGTGACTCCCCAGGATGTAGGTCAAGTACAGAGTTTTTGTCGGGCCCTCCAAATATACCCCGTCCATGTGTCCCCAAATCTTCCTGGAATAATCGGCGATTCTTACTCAGGCCTTGTGTGTTCCCACCTTGAGGGCTTTGCTCATGGAATTTTCCCTTTGTAAAATGACCTCTTCACAGTGCTCACCTGTTGAAATTGTAGCTATCTTTCAAAGCCCAGCTCAGATGCCTTAGTCCTATGTGAAGCCTTTTGTGATTCTGCCAAACCAATTATGATTTTACCATTCTTTGTGTTTCTATCTCTCTTATATCATCTGCCATCGGTGCCTTCTCTTTTGGTGGTTTGCATGTATGGCTTAACTTCCTAGTTTGTAAACTCTGTGAGGACAACAAGGACTGAGTCTTAACTGTCTTTGTCACCTTGCATATAGTTGATGACCAGAATATAACTTTTGGATTGAATGAGCTCCGTAACTCAGCCACCACACAGAATTTTTTTTTCTGTCTGAAAATAAGCTTTCAGAAACATTACACTCTGTTCATATTTTTCTCTCTGTAAGTGCCTAACACTGGACATTTCAAAAGTTTCAACTTACTGCTATTGTGTCCCTCATCTGGCATTTTTCACACACATTTTTCCAGACCAGGGTTGTGCATTTGTGCCTTGGCAGGTTGATGGCTATGACTGTGAATAATGAGTCAATTATCATCCAGCCTCAGGGAAAGCACAGTTATTCCTGACTGGCCAGACTGAGGTAATCCTCTCCTCCCTGTGCCCTTTCAAATGAGGAACATAAAACAGTTGGAATTCAGAGCACTGCAAAGGGAATTTAGACAAAGCATTTGTCTGCCGAATTTAGCTTCTTTGGATTTATTCTGATTTATGATTGATTGGTTTTTAAATTGCTTATTTAGTTCGAACGACTATCGCTCCAGGGGAGGCCAGATAACAAGGAGCATGTGATCAAGAAGCAGTGGAGTGAAGTAGTTTGGCTGGACAAATCAAGAGCAAATATTATTGTCCAGAGAAACATTGCTCTAGGCAAGGAGTGTAATGCAAAAATCACACCCTGACTTTCAGAGTACCCAACCTTGTTATAAGCATGATTGCTTATCCCCTATTCTCTTTGCAGAAGGATTTTTGCAATTGCCTAGTGTTGCACAGAATTGTCCCCCTATGAATTTTTCTTTCCTTCTAGCAATATATTCAATATCTCCTCTCAACTGAGAACATGCTCTTGATTTATATTGCTGTTGACCAGAGTGTGGAAGAACAGACACTCCGAGGTTGCTGGCAGATTTGGTTGTGAATTCTAATGTTGGTTGTGCTGATCTGTGAAAATTCTCCTGCAAGTGTGATAATGCTTCTCATTGCATGGGCACTAGTCTGGCTTTTGTACAGATTAATTTGAATTTTTAAAAAAGTTTCTTTCAAAATTGAGTTCTTTAAAAATAATCACTTTTATCTGAAAGATGTATAATCAATATGTGGTTAGTGTTTAATTTATCAAGACATCAAAAGTTTCAACCTTTTCAAGGTGTGTAACCTTTTTCTTTGGTCTGAAATTAGACCCTATAGGTGTGGTGGGGGCCTTGTAAGGGAGATCTGTTGGAAGCTTGTCTGTTTAGTATCAAAAGGAAATTGAAATTCCATTGCTTCAGAATAATGAAACCTCGAAAAACCTTTAGAAAAAAACTTTCGTCTCATCTGTATTGAAGTTTTGACTCAGAAATGCCCAAAGAAACGCTTTTTCAGGTCTCAATAACCTACTTGTTCTCTGAAATATTGCTGTTAGATTTCTAAACCGTATTATGTCTGACACTTATTTCAAAGCAAGAAACATTAGGGATAAGATGAAAGGGTGGAAGAGGACCCTGATGAAAAACAGAAACAGAAGAAGATGAGACGAACCCTTGGGTGGCACATTTGGATTTCACCAGGATTACTATAGGAAGTGGCATCTGGCTCTCTAATCAGACTTTCATCCACTTCAGATTCTGGGCTGTGCCAGCATCTGCCATTTTGACATTATCATATTGAAAAATAACTTTTTTCCCTATCTCATTGTGCCAAGATATTTATTATTTGCTGGATTTTAAAAACAACGATAAAAGCCTTTAGAAGGAGCACTTCTGGGTCTTAGGAGGGATATAGCATATATTCTTGTGAAACCAATTCTGAAGTTTAGGAAGGAGCCTTAAACTGTAGCTTTTGTCAAGAATGAACAAGTTCTTTTCTACATCATCCAGTCTGTCTTTTAAAAATGAAAACTTTCTGTTTATAAAAGGAGAATTTTAAAAAGAGTGGATGAGAATTTTTGTTAGACCTGAGATCCCAACAGTAGTTCAACATCAGGATCAGAAGCTGAGACTTCATTATATTTTGCTCTTTATTTCAAAGGAGTTTCATCTGGTTACCTGTCACATAACCTGGGTGTTTTATTGGAAATAGTAGAGAGTACACTGAGTGATCATGAGAACAAATAGAACTCGTCCTTGTAGAACATCTTTGATTTTCAGACATTGCTGTGCTTTTCAAGTATTTAAGTCAATAGATTATTACAATAGTGTTGTGCTGGGTACATAGTATTTTCTTAGTAATTACTAGATTTAGGTTATACTTGATTTAAAGGATGAGCAGGGAAAACTGAAACCGTTTCACCTTTTATTAGAATAGAGCACTGAGGCATGGCAGTAGCCACAGGAAGTCTGCTTTCCTTTGAACATTGATGAAGTTTGAGGAACCCTTTCATCCTTCAGTTAACTCCTATTTCCAAGTGTCTCCATGCCTATCTTGCTCTACTCTGCTACCAATGCTGTTTGCCCTAGGACTGATACAGGACATCTCTGTGGCCGTAAAAGTGGAAGAAGTCAGGGAGACTAAGTCCTAAGACCATTTCTTCCTCATTTATCTCATCTTGTATAGGGCTGGTTACTCCAACATATTCTTAGCAACCCTCCTCACACTTTGCTCAGCAACCCCCAGCCCTCCACCCACAGAAGCCAAGGTTGGGTGCTTCGCACCAGAATTTCCAAGGATTTATTGAGGCAAAAGGCAAGGGCTACCTCTCCCACTAGTAGCTAGTTAGAAGTCACTGGTGCTGGTGCAGTAGGCAGTAGTAGAGAGCTGGCCTGAGCTGGTGTTATTTATGGATGTGAACTTTTTAAAGAGAACGTGATGCATTTCATATTTGTGTTTTCCCTCTCTGGCTTATTAATGACGTATTATAGATTAGGTCACCTTATCTCTGTTTCCCATCAGTATATCTGTGTTATGTCCTAAAGATACCCTCACAAGTCTTAATTCTACCAGTGATAGGGTATTCAGAAGCAAACAAATGATGTTAACTGGATTTGTACCAGGCTGTGATCATTACAACAACATGAATCTCACTGATTTTGATGCCATGCACTGACAGGTCAAGAGAAACAAACATGGGCACTGTGCTGGGTTAGGCTATCTGTAACCCCTTCAGTTACAGATGTTCCTAAGGAACTCACAGATAAAACAATTGCTGAGTCTCTGGAACATTTTTATAGTAGAGGCTAGTAAGGGGATGGAGTAGGATTCTCCAACCCAACAATGGCTTGATTTCTGCCACTTGACTTTTTTTGAATTCCTTTATCACTCTTTTACTCTTTTAGTGATCATTGACGTAGGTTCCTGTACTTGCTGTTGTCAGAAGAAGCAAGTTTCAGTTTTGGAATGTACCCTGCACGCTTAGTTCTTCTTTGACTATTGTAAGCCATTCTTCTTTGTCTCCTTTCTGGCTCCCTGCCCCCACCTTTCTGCTCCTTTTTTCTTCTATTCTCTAAAGACCTTTTCTTTTCATTTACTGCATTAATGCAGGAAGCAAGGCACAGTGGTTAGGAGGATAGGTTCTAGAGTCAGAAGGCAGTGTTCAGATCCCCACTCTGCTACTTAACCATCTGTATAGCCTTGAGCAAGTTACTTTCTCTCTCTGTAGGCCTTGGTTCTTTAATCTGTAAAGTAAGGATAGTAACAGTGTCTACTTTTAGTGGTATTCTGAGGATTAAATGAAATGATTCATGAGATGCTCACAAAAGAGTGCCACTCAATGAATGTTAACCCTGATTATTAATTTTAATATTATTACTAATATTAAAAATAATGTTATGGCTTAAACTATTACCTCAGTGTAATTGATGAACAGATATTTACCTCCTGTGAAATCTCTCCCAGATTTTAACCTACATTTGCAGCTGCCTTTGGGTCATTTCCACTACGATTTCAACTGGCACTTCAAATGCAATATGGCCAAAGCTGAATTCATTCATTATCTTTTATCAAAATTATTTCATTTTATTTCCCCCACATTTCTTTTAATAGCATCATGATATAATTGTCTTAGTCTCTTAATTTAGGATTACTCTTAGATGCTTTCCTCAGCCTAAGTAGATAATCGTGAATGTACATGGATTTAGTACAAAGATATTCATTGTTTATAATTTTAAACAGTCAAGAATAAGGAATTGGTTAAATAAACTATCTTACATTTATATAAAGGAGTTCTTGATAACTATTAAAATTACATGGAATATTCAATAACCTGAAAAGAGATACTGCTGGCAAGTTGAGTTATGTACAGTATGATTCCTTCTGGATTTTTAGAAGTGCATGGATACGTAAAAAATATTAGATAGCCACTGAAAAAACTTTGTTGTGGCCTTTCTGGCTTGTAGGATTATGAGTGATTTTCATATTTTACTTTTTTCCCTCATAAGTTTTCTAAAGTCATCCATACATTGCTTTCATATAAAGAAAAAAATCCCTCAAATTTAGAAAAAGATGTGATAGGTCATGTCTAAGAGTCTCACAAATACTGTATTTTATTAACTTTTTAACAGCGACCAAGAACAGTGCTGGATATGTAATAGGCACTCAATAAATATATGTTGAGTGACATAATGTTATCTTTCTATCCAGTTTTAGAAATCACTTTTAACAGTTCAGAGTGCTTAATGCCTCAAGGGTTCGGTTTGTAGAGTTCTTTGAAAAGTATTCTTTTTCATTGGAAGAAACTTTCTCAATATACACAAAATAAACCAGACTTGGTATTGTGGATGTTTTCTAATAGTGCATAACTTCTTATTTCAGAGGATCATGTGTCCAAAAGGGGAGTGTTTGGAACTGATTCTTCAGAAAACATTTTTACCTCAGCAAAAGTTACTCATAAAAATGAAGCAGATGACTACCATCTTAGAAATAAAACCATCTTTCTTCGTACTTCATCACAATGTTTGGAAGAACAGGTAATACCAACATAGTACATGTATAGAAACAATCTCAGAAGAAAAGAATTCTTCATGAATCAAAAAAAAGAGACCCTACTAAACACTAGACAGTTATTAGATCTGTAATTCCTAATTCTAGAAGGAGTGCCATTGGGGCACTTTATTGAAAGTCATCATTACATATATTTCATAATGTTGACAGCTATTGTTTATGATGATAACTGGTTATCCCCAATTTTTGTTCAAAAGTTCTTAAGGATCTGCCATCTATAAATTATTGAAATTATTTCTTTTAGCTTGTCTTCTATTTGGGACAAAAGAGCTCCTTTCTCTAATTCTCTGTGTAAAATGGGACTTTCTTTCACCTGTCCTAGATTCATCTCTTTCAAACTCAAGATGGAATCGATTATCTTGTTTTTCTCTAATATCTGGTCAATAAATGTTAGATACGCTTTTTCTAATCTTGAAGACTTTATAGACTCTTCACATTCTCCTCAGCTATGATTTTTAATTATCAAGGAATTATAGTGGAAACTGTTCTGCTTTTTAAGCCATTTAAGTTTCTAATTTCTGCTTCATCATGTATTCCTTGCAATATTGTGGACAGAATTGTATATTGTGTTTTTTTCTAACAAGGGAACAAAAATCTCTGTGTTAGAAATATGTTTATATACAGCAGATGCCTATAATTCTTTATTTCCTGAACTTGCTTCCAGAGAGATAATTGTGGGATACGAACTTTTTTCACTCTTTACTGGCAATGACTGACCATTGGGATTATATTATATAGAGAGTCTTTAACCAGCATTTGAGGAACAGAGAATGGTTGAATGACATTGTTTTCTAATAACTTGAAAATGTTGTGTTACCATTCTCTGATTTGTTCATCAGAGGTTCATTGGGATGGGATAGGAGTGGAGAGTATTCCTATTTTACTCATGAGAAGACTGAGATTAAGTAGTCTATTATAGGTTACACTGTGGATGAGTCTACAGGACAGAAGTAGAATCAGAGCTCCTGAAACCTATTCCCTGACCTCCGCTATGGCTTACTGAATTTGGTCTGTTATGCTCAGCTAATTAACAAAAACGGGAAGGGGAGTTTTATCATCTGAAGGGCTACAAGATCAGCTTCTTTATTTTCAGTTGTTTCATTTTTCCATCAATATGTGATGGATGAAGGCCAAAAAGTATTTTTTCAGATAGTGATGGATGAAGGCCAAAAAATTGGCAGTTCTTTTCAAGGTGATCTGAATTGGGCAGAAAAGGTGAAGGTAAGGCATGTTTCAATTTTCTTGGCAAAAACCAAAAACACAACAAACAAACTAAAAACACAGGACTCATTTACTGTCCCTTATACAAAGTTGGAGAATTCAGCAGATTTTGTCCTTACAATTTTTTTTTATTAATTGATGTTTGAATATCTTAAACTATTCTTGGTCAGCTGGGTTCTGGATCTTTTTTCCTTAGAGCTTAATAAATGAAAGGGGTGCTTTGATAGAGAAACATGACTCCAGTCCCCATTAGCATACACCACTAAGTAAATAACAATATAATATGACAGAATTTCAAAATTTAGTAGTGAAACCATTATGTGGAAGATAAATTTTTGCCTTCACTTGGATGCCAGATAATAACTGCAGGTATGTACTTAAAAGCAATGGCAGTACCATTTAAAATTCCTATGTAATAGCTATGGTCTCGCAAGTAGAGCTGGGGGAAGAAAGACCCAGCCTGTCTTTTGAATTCCAATTATGAAATGTAAATTTGTAATTTTATGGTATTTTATTATGCACATGTTTAGGTCATGAGCATAAAAGGCATTGCAACCTTATTCCTTTACTAGGTCTCATTCATGCCAGTGGTGAGATCATTTTCTTATTTACACTCTTTGATATTCACTTGAGATGAATTAGTTCATGTCTAAATGTTACCATTTTGTTAATCTAAAATGTCTCATTGTCAGCTTGCAGTGGAAAGCAGTATTCCATGTGGAATAGTTTTTCATTGAAATGCTGCTATTGTGTCTGTAAAGGTCATTTGCCCTGCTTTTTACCTTTGAAGTAATTTTCAGTTTTATTTGCTCGAAAGAGAGAACACTTGAGTTTTTGCCCTGCTCACATCTCTTGTGATTTTGTTTTGAATGAACTTTTCTCTCCTGCTTTCTTTAGTTTCTTCTCTCTGGCTCCTCAGAGTGCTATCAGAAAGCACGGTGTTATGACAGTAGCCAGAGCCACCGCCACCATTTGCTTGACAGGCAAAAGCAATAAAAGGAAAACAAAACCCAGAAACACTGTTTTCAACTGTCATGGTGGTGGTATATATTCTGGGATAGAATCTGGAACAAAGTCCCTTTTAAAAAACTCTCAGACTGCTTTTTTCCCTTTCAGTGCAGAGGCCTGACTATGGTGCCTACAAAATCCAGGCCAGCTTTCAAATTTACTGCTTCTTTCAGATGTCTCTTGGGAAAGCACAGTGAACACAAAAGCCTTGAGCTGGGACTCAAGAGTTAATGAGAAAAGTGGATTCAGCTGCTCAGTTAGGTGTTGTGGAAGTGGATTCGTTGACTTTTCACTGCAGTTTTTCTTTAGGTCTATTCTGCTTAAAAATTATGTTAATTCTTTTTTCTAGGTAGATAATTTCCTAGATTTAGAAGATTTGGACATGGATGAAGAGATTAAACCCCAAATGAGTGAGGGTATGCTTTCTATTTCCTTTCTATACTACCTGACCTCTTTCTAGAAACTACAAATAAGGCTTTAGACAGCTTTCCTGTTTTTGGCAATTCTTACCTCCACCTCTCCTAAGACAGGAAGAACTAAAGTTGTGAGCTATTTTTTTCAGTAACAAAAATTTCACCTGAAAGGTCAAAGCTTTTTGAAGATTGTGAAACCTTTGGTCTTAAATGAAATAAAGATGTGCTCTCCCCCTTAACAATTCATCACAGGATTGATTCTTAGGTAATTGTCTCAAGTGGAGCCATTGTAAGTCAACTCTGTTTCCTAGAGGTACAGTCTTGTAAACTGAAATTATTTTTGAGGGACACATAAAATACCTATTAATCATAAAAATCATAAAAATATCAGAATTGATCACAAAAATAAGGCTGTCTTGCCTGGTATTAAAGGTTACTGAGGCTGAACCAAGTTTCAGTGGATTTGAGTGAACTAATGTCAAGGCCTTCCCACATGTAGAATAAGATGCAAAGCCTAGGCTGAAAATCTATGCAGGCTTCAGTGAACTATTCTAAAGAAAATAAAAGAAAATCCATTTTTTTGCTTTTAAAAATATTTATTATGTAAATTAAACCCTTAATACTAAAGATATATTGTAAATGTTTCTTCTGAGGCATTTTCCACATGGGCTGGATTGAAAAAGGCTTCATGCTAGTCTGTTGATGTTTATTTAGAGGAAAACTTTTTTCTTTCTAGTTAACATTTCTGGATAGGCATAGGTATCCTTTGTTTCTCGAAGGATGTTTGAAATATGTTCAAAATCAGGAAGTTTTTTTTTTTTTTTTTTAAACACTCATTCCTGATTTAACATGCAAGAATATATCAAAGTCAATGCCTAATTTTACAGAAGGGGCAGTTTCCACGGAGGTTTGGTTGTTGATGTTTAACTATTGTTTACTGTCTTTAGGTGGTCATAAACATGTTTTATGGTCATTAGTGTTGGGGGAGGATGGCTTATTTATAATCAGACAGAAGTTAAAGTGACTAGGTAAAGTTGGTTTAGGGATGGTGACTATCTGTACATTGGTTGTATAAACCTCTACTCTAGCTTCTTCAGCTGCTTGAATTTGAGAGGTTTTGGTAATTGGAAGAAATGAACATTTTTATTCTGCTTTCAAGCATCACACTACTCCGTGAAGGGATTGCTTCTCAAGCACACTATTAACCAGCAGATGTTGCAGATTCTTTACTTATTTGGTTTAAGTGAGATCAGAGGTCTAGAGGGATCACATCCTCCAGGGAGAGGTTCTCTAACTTTAATACCCTGAGTGGCTCTGAATTTCTATAATGAGAGCAGCAAAGGGACTCCAGTTGGATTAGAAGGGAGAGCTAAGGACTTGTCAGGAAGCTACATTTGTAGAGGAAGCACACTGTTTTGGGTTTTGGGTGATTTGGGGGAGGGAACCTTGTTAAAAATGCAGATTTCTGGATCTCCCTCCCAATAGAGAATCTAATTCAGAAGGTCTTTGGTGGCATCTGGTGATCTGCATTTTAACCGACACCCCCAATGATTCTAATATAATTAATTTGAGGATAACACGTGGAGACAAATGGTTCTAGTCTGCATGTAATACATATGCAATATAAAATAAATTTCATAAGAGGGCACAAAAGTACATGTTTTGGGTGCTTTTGTGATGGTTTAAATTTTTCACTTCTTACCAGTATGAGAACTCTGTATATTGACATAAACCAACATAGCCAACAGATCTGATTTTTGTTATGTCAATCTTTTTTTTTTTTTGAGATGGAGTCTCACTCTGTCGCCCAGGCTGGAGTGCAATGGCATGATCTCAGCTCACTGCAACCTCTGCCTCTCAGGTTTAAGCAATTCTCCTGCCTCAGCCTCCCAAGTAGCTGGGATTACAGGTGCATGCTGCCATGCCTGGCTAATTTTTATGTATTTTAGTAGAGATAGGGTTTCACTGTGTTGCCCAGGCTGGTCTTGAACTCCTGAGCTCAGGCAATCCACCTGCCTCGGCCACACCCCGCCCCACCGCCCGCCCGAGTGCTAGGATTACAGGTGTGAGCCCCCTCACCCGGCCCGTCAATCTTTTAAATCGCCTTTTTACCTTCTTCAGTATTTTCACATTGTTTTCTTTAAATATTTTTTTCAAGTTACATTTTTCAATTACCAGATTTATTTTAAAATATTGATAAAAACATCTTACTAGTATGATTTTTCCAGAAATCAGATAACAAGCCTTCTTGTATTTGTGTATAAAAGATTACTGAGGCTGAACCAAGACTTGAATGAACTCGTCAAGACCTTCCCACACATAGAATGATGTGTGAAGCCTATGCTGAAAATCAACCTAGGCTTCAGCAATCTATTCTAATTACTGAAAAGGCCACCAGGGCTTTACAATTTTCATAATGCACAATCTGGGTCATTTAAAGGGAAAAGAAATTAAATAGTTGGTGCCAAGGCGAATTTTAGTTTGGGCCTAATTTGTTTTACACTTCAGGAATGTGAGCAGAAGGCAAATATTTATATCAGATGGGAAATGTGACATTTTAAATAGTAAAGTTGCTTGTATAATTTTGGCAGCTGGGAGGTTTACTGATTAGATTCCGTTGTTATTGTTTAAGCAACAGATTTGCTTGGGGCAACAAGGAAGTGGCTTGCATATTGTTTTTCTACCATTGACTTTATTTGTTCACCCCATTCACTCTCATAAATATTCTCTAAGATTTAGGAGCATGATTCTTTTCTAATATTTGTTTTATCACTTGGCAGCCCAGGTGGAAAGATTGGAGATGGTTTTTCAGTGGAGCCAACTCTATTAAGCAATGGTATTAAGCAGTTTTCTGAGGGTAGCGTCTGCCACAGAGTTTGGTGCACTGTGTTTATTTGACATCAAGTTAACCTATTCTTCCTTTTTTGAATTTGAGATAAGGTAGTTAACCTGGTGACTGTCATGCCTCAGACAAACTGGCCCATACTTTTACCCAGCACAATTATTGTTTGGATCAGTTATTAGTTATTGTGCTGAGGACATTAGAATAGGAAGATTTTCTGTTCATCTTTATTTTTATGCTTCCTCGGTGGGCCCAGCCCAACCTCTTTTCTGGTCAAGTGCAAGTAGCTCAAGAGACTTTTTTTTTTTTTTAATCTACTTCTGAGATTCATACTGTCTTACACACATCTCTTGGTCAGCGGGTGTACTTATGGTGTGGCTGATTGTATTGACTGAGAATGGGCACTGATTCCTGCTCAAAGGTTGGCAGCCTTGTTTGATTTTCATTTTCAGGTTCTCCAGTACTGTACTTCTGCCTTAGTCCATTTATGTTGCTGTAAAAGAATACCTGAGGCTGGGTAAAGAAAAGAGGTTTATTTGGCTCATGGTTCTGCAGGCTGTGCAAGAAGCATGGAGCCAGCGTGTGCTTCTGGGGAAGCCAAAGGGGAACCACATGTGCAGAAACTGCATGACGAGAGAGGAACCGAGAGAGAGGGAAAGAGGTGCCAGGCTCTTTTCAACAATCAGTTCTTTTGGGAACTAAGAGTGAGAACTCAGCGAAAACTCACTCACTCTGGAGAGAATGGCACCAAGCCGTTCCTGAGGGATCTACTCTGAAACCAAGCACCTCCCTCCAGTACCTACCTCCAACATTGGGGACCAAATTTCAACATAAGACTTGCTGAGGCCAAACAAACCATATCCTAACCATAGCAATGTCCAGTCATTTTTAGTCCGTTAATGAGCAAGTGCATACAAATGATCACATCGGTTACCTCTTTTTTTGAAAAAAAGTTCATTCCTAATTTGCAACTTTAAGCAGCTTTAGGCCACCCCTGAACGACTAGGGACTCTTATTCAACAAATATTTAAGAACTGTGGCTGAAATCCTGGTTCCTCAAGTCCTAGGCTACCCTGGTAGTTCTCCAACACCTTTAAATAGTTGATTTTTGTGATTTATCTAGCTTTTCTAGTTGTTGATGGTGGGAGGGTTGGACTGACATTAGCTAGACCAGCAGACTCCTGAAGATGTGGTATAGGAACCCCTCAGAAACCCTAAGGTTGGCAGGTCATGTGTTGATGTTTGCATTGAAGTTGGAAAAGCAATGATGGGTGAAGATGCTGGCACCTTAGTGTGAATCAAGTTTGTGGCACCAAATTATACTAGCAGTTGTGTCATCTTCACTGTCATAAATTTATAATCAAAAACAAATGCCAGTTTCCACTGAAAATTTCTTGAAGTAGTAAAAATTATTAATTTTATTACATATTACATCTTTATTCTTAAGTATACCTCTTTTTAATGATTTTTGTGTCAAAATAGTAAGTGTTCATAAGGCACTTCTGTTACATACTGAAATACAGTGGTTGTGGAAAAACACTTGGGTGATTGAGTGGTGTGCTGAACTGGTTTATTTTTCTCTTTCATGAATCACCATTTTTATTGGAAAGAGTGACTGACAAACTATATTTCTCAAAAATGAATAAAGTGAGCCTGTCTCTTCAAGGCTAATAACTAATAGTATTCATTGCCAATGATAAAATTGGCAATGGATCAAGCGAAAATTAGATTTTTAGAGAACTCGTATCTAGTACTGTGAGCTTGACAGCTTCTCAATATTTAAAGGCTTTTCTGGCAAAATTGGTGATATTAACTAATGTGATTTTTATACTGTATAATGAAATATGTCAACATTTGGAAGATCTACATAACACAGTGAACCAATATTTTCCAAATGACCAATTAATAATGTTTACAAAATTATACATAGGGGAAAGATCCATTCAGTGTGCAAGATAGACCAATGGATTTTAATGTAGCAGTACAAAAAATTCACTGACAAGTTTTCAGAATGCTCATGGAAAATAACCTTTGAAAAACTCTATGATTTTTCAGATCGTGGTGTAGTATCAAAGAAAAATATCCACAACTATATAAAAAGACTATTAAAATACTCCTCCCCTTTCCAACTACCTATCTATATGAGTCTGGATTTTCTTTACTTCAACTAAAACAGTGTATTTCAAAAATTGAATGCAGAAACAAATAGGGAATCCAACTTTCTTCTGTTCAGCCAGATATTATAACAGATTCGAAAAAATGTAAAATAATGCTTCTCAATATTTTCTATTTTTAGAAAATAGATTTTTAATAAAAATACTTATTTTAATATGTAATTTGATTATTAGTAATGATTCCAATATACAAATATTGGAACACTTGTCAGTTTTAATTCCTGATATGGTGAGTGTTGATAGACATAACCCATGTAAACAAAAGATCTTTGAGATCTTCAATCATTTTTAAGAATAAGAACTACTGACAAGACTATCATAGCTGGAAGCTCTATTTAGAAGTTGCCTGTTCTCATTGGTTTCAAAGAATATCTTTATTTCTGCCTTCATTTTGTTATGTAGCCAGTACTCATTCAGGAGCAGGTTGTTCAGTTTCCATGTAGTTGAGCGGTTTTGAGTGAGTTTCTTAATCCTGAGTTCTAGTTTGATTGCACTGTGGTCAGAGAGATAGTTTTTTATAATTTCTGTTCTTTTACATTTGCTGAGGAGTGCTTTACTTCCAACTATGTGGTCAGTTTTGGAATAGGTGGGGTGTGGTGCTGAGAAGAATGTATACTCTGTTGATTTGGGGTGGAGAGTTTTGTAGATGTCTATTAGGTCCGCTTCGTGCAAAGCTGAGTTCAATTCCTGGATATCTTTTTTAACTTCCTGTCTTGTTGATCTGTCTATTGTTGACAGTGGGGTGTTAAAGTCTCCCATTATTATTGTGTGGGAGTCTAAGTCTCTTTGTAGGTCTCTAAGGACTTGCTTTATGAATCTGGGTGCTCCTGTATTGGGTGCATATATATTTAAGATAGTTAGCTCTTCTTGTTGAATTGATCCCTTTACCATTATGTAATGGCCTTCTTTGTCTCTTTTGATCTTTGTTGGTTTAAAGTCTGTTTTATCAGAGACTAGGATAAAATTGATAGACCGCTAGCAAGACTAATAAAGAAGAAAAGAGAGAAGAATCAAATAGACGCAATAAAAAATGATAAAGGGGATATCACCACCGATCTCACAGAAATACAAACTACCATCAGAGAATACTATAAACACCTCTACACAAATAAACTAGAAAATCTAGAAGAAATGAATAAATTCCTGGACACATACACCCTTCCAAGACTAAACCAGGAAGAAGTCGAATCCCTGAATAGACCAATAACAGGCTCTGAAATTGAGGCAATAATTAATAGCCTACCAACCAAAAAAAGCCCAGGACCAGACAGATTCACAGCCAAATTCTACCAGAGGTACGAGGAGGAGCTGGTACCATTCCTTCTGAAACTATTCCAATGAATAGGAAAAGAGGAAATCCTCCCTAACTCATTTTATGAGACCAGCATGATCCTGATACCAAAGCCTGGCAGAGACACAACAAAAAAAGAGAATTTTAGACCAATATCCCTCATGAACATCGATGCAAAAATCCTCAATAAAATACTAGCAAACCAAATCCAGCAGCACATCAAAAAGCTTACCCACTATGATCAAGTGGGCTTCATCCCTGGGATGCAAGGCTGGTTCAACATACGCAAATCAATAAACGTAATCCAGCATATGAACAGAACCAAAGACAAAAACCACATGGTTATCTCAATAGATGCAGAAAAGGCCTTTGACAAAATTCAACAGCCCTTCATGCTAAAAACTCTCAATAAATTAGGTATTGATGGGACATATCTCAAAATAATAAGAGCTGTTTATGACAAACCCACAGCCAATATCATACTGAATGGGCAAAAACTGGAAGCATTCCCTTTGAAAACTGGCACAAGACAAGGATGCCCTCTTTCACCACTCCCATTCAACATAGTGTTGGAAGTTCTGGCCAGGGCTATCAGGCAGGAGAAAGAAATAAAGGGTATTCAGTTAGGAAAAGAGGAAGTCAAATTGTCCCTGTTTGCAGATGATATGATTGTATATTTAGAAAACCCCATCATCTCAGCCCAAAATCTCCTTAAGCTGATAACAGCAAAGTCTCAGGATACAAAATCAATGTGCAAAAATCACAAGCATTCTTATACACCAATAACTGACAGAGAGCCAAATCAAGAGTGAACTCCCATTCACAATTGCTTCAAAGAGAATAAAATACCTAGGAATCCAACTTACAAGGGATGTGAAGGACCTCTTCAAGGAGAACTACAAACCAACTGCTCAATGAAATAAAAGAGGATACAAACAAATGGACGAACATTCCATGCTCAAGGATAGGAAGAATCAATATCATGAAAATGGCCATACTGCTCAAGGTAATTTATAGATTCAATGCCATCCCCATCAAGCTACCAATAACTTTCTTCATATAATTGGAAAAACTACTTTAAAGTTCATATGGAACCAAAAAAGAGCCTGCATTGCCAAGACAATCCTAAGCCAAAAGAAGAAAGCTGGAGGCATCATGCTACCTGACTTCAAACTATAGTACAAGGCTACAGTAACCAAAACAGCATGGTACTGGTACCAAAACAGAGATATAGACCAATGGAAAAGAACAGAGCCCTCAGAAATAATACCATGCATCTACAACCATCTGATCTTTGACAAACTTAACTAAAACAAGAGATGGGGAAAAGATTCCCTATTTAATAAATGGTGCTGGGAAAACTGGCTAGCCATATGTGGAAAGCTGAAACTGGATCCCTTCCTTACACCTTGTACAAAAATTAATTCAAGATGGATTAAAGACTTAAATATTAGACCTAAAACCATAAAAACCCTAGAAGAAAACCTAGGCAATACCATTGAGGACACAGGCATGGGCAAGGACTTCATGACTAAAACACCAAAAACAATGGCAACAAAAGCCAAAATTGACAAGTGGAATCTAATTAAACTAAAGAGCGTCTGCACAGCAAAAGAAACTACCATCAGAGTGAACAGGCAACCTACAGAATGAGAGAAAATGTTTGCAATCTACTCAACTGACAAAGGGCTAATATCCAGAATCTATAAATAACTCAAACAAGTTTACAAGAAAAAAACAAACAACCCCATCAAAAAGTGAGCAAAGGATATGAACAGACACTTCTCAAAAGAAGACATTTATGCAGCCAACGGGCACATGAAAAAATGCTCATCATCACTGGCCATCAGAGAAATGCAAATCAAAACCACAATGAGATACCATCTCACACCAGTTAGAATGGTGATCATTAAAAAGTCAGGAAACAACAGGTGCTGGAGAGGATGTGGAGAAATAGGAACACTTTTACACTGTTGGTGGGACTGTAAACTAGTTCAACTATTGCGGAAGACAGTGTGGCGATTCCTCAAGGATCTAGAACTAGAAAGACCATTTGACCCAGCTATCCCATTACTGGGTATATACCCAAAGGATTATAAATCGTGCTGCTATAAAGACACATGCACACGTATGTTCATTGTGGCACTATTCACAATAGCAAAGAGTTGGAACCAACCCAAATGTCCAACAATGATAGACTGGATTAAGAAAATGTGGCACATATACACCATGGAATACTATGCAGCCATAAAAAAGGATGAGTTCATGTCCTTTGCAGGGACATGGATGAAGCTGGAAACCATCATTCTCAGCAAACTATCGTAAGGATAAAAAAACCAAACACTGAATGTTCTCACTCATAGGTGGGAATTGAACAATGAGAACACTTGGACACAGGAAGGGGAACATCACACACTGGGGTCTGTCGTGGGGTGGGGGGAGGGGGAGGGATAGCATTAGGAGATATACCTAATGTAAATGATAGGTTAATGGGTGCAGCACACCAACATGGCACATGTATACATATGTAACAAACCTGCACGTTGTGCACATGTACCCTAGAATTTAAAGTATAATAATAATAATAATAATAATAAAGAAGTGATCTGGACGGCTAAAGTGTTTTTTATCTATATCCTTTTTGTATTAGGATGCCCAGACTTTCAGGAAATGTTGGCCATTTTATGTGGTAACAAATGAACAGACTGGTTAATTTTATAAATATGCCAGGCAGATTTAATATTATTGTATATAAATTTTCAGATGTCAAGTAGATTGCTCACTTTGTACCAGTGTGTTAGATTACATGGCTGTAGTCTTTGACTTGCTGATCATTGACAAAATACAGAGACAAATGGCATGAATAGCTACTTTTTAAATAGTAGAATTTCTAAACACGTGGTTGAGAAAGAAGAGATTAAAATACTTCAACCAGTCTTGCCGTCCAACCTCAAGATTCATTTTTGAAAGTGGCCCTGATTCTATGATGCCAAGATGGTTGCATTTCATTAAGATGAAAACAAAGCCTTTGATTGTTTTAGAAACAACACCTATATGATCAGATTAAGTCTCTTAAAGCATTTCTGTTTCAGAAAGTTATACAGAGAACTTCAGAAATTTCATTTCCTACCATGAGTGAATACAGTATTTTTTTTCTCCTGAGAGAATATGAGTATATATATATAACCCACCCACGATTGTAAAAGGCTAAATGATTGCAGTACTTTTCTTTATAACATATGCCTTGCCAGGCTCTTTTCATTCATATTGTTTTTGCCCTTTTATAAATCTGTCATCTTTAGAGTTAGAGCCATTCAATTTTTTCTTGATTATTCTTTGATTGATTTTATATATGAAAGTCTTATTCCTGTAACGTTTAGTTTTTGAGGGTAAGGGCTATAGTCATTTTACATCATCCACAACATCTTATTGGCAGGCAGACTCGATACTTGCTGTTGAGTTTAAAAGTTGAGGTGTACAAAATTCCTTTTCTATCTCCAAGTATTTGTTGGGAATTCACTATGTATAAGGTGCTATGTTAGGCACTAATAGATATGCATTGGTGCATTTCGCTTTTATTCTGAAGAAACAAATGACAAGAATTTAAGACGTGGAGAATACTGAGTCTTGTTATTTTGAAAGAATTGTTCCCATGGCAGTAGAATTATTATGAAAGAAACCATTTTTGTTGAAAATCCTACCTTGGCAAATAGGTTAGAGAAGTGAAGTTTCAGTAAAGAAATTGCAGAGTTGTCCTCCTCACTGCACAATACTGTCAGCCAGAATGATGATTTTAAATAGCGCTGAAAGCAGAATTGATTTTGATTTCACATTTGAACTGACGTTTGCGCTGTCAGCCAATGGGTCAGGTAGATAATGGTTTTCATGTCGAGAGGCCCAAGCCTGTCTCTTGCTGCTTTCCTTGTTCGTGGGTCCCTCACCAGATTTGTACCAGTCCTAGGCTGTTACACGAGGACGCTCAGTGAGGGAGTTTGGCTTTGAACTCATAAATAGGTGCATTAGAAAACCAGTCTTCCCACCAACCTCATTGAATTTTAAAATGTTGTTTCTCTGGGTGTGAAATGTTTGGGAAATGTACTTAATGTTGCCTAACCATGCTAATGTGTTATAGTAGTGACATTTGTTGGTTCTAAGTTTGAGTGTTTAATTTGATCCAGTAAAATAAAATATGTAACAAAAATGCTTATTTAAAGAAAGTTCGTAATGTGACATTGTAGGATAAGAGCATGGGCTCTGTATGTAGATAGACTGTCCAGCTCTGCCGTTTTTAGCTGTGGGATATTGAGTGAGGCTACTGTCTCTTAGCTCATTGTCTGTAAAATGGGAAATAATAGAGCTTTGGGAGTATTAGCTGAGCTAAAGCACATAAAATGATGAGTATGTAAGTGTTGGCTATTATTATTGTTTTTATTTCTGCTAATTAATGAAATCATAGTCTAAGATTTCAGTAATTAGTCATAGCAGAATTGCCTTCTTTGCCATTTCCCCTCCACAATTCTGTTTCCAGGCTGTCTGTGTTCTCTGTTGCTGGAGTCATAAGAATTTTGTAATTATATTTTTTTGTGAAGGGGATATCTATAGTGTTGAGGGATTCATTTCAAATAAGTTTCAGTTTTTGAATATCAATACCTGCTCAATTATCTCCCTATACATGCTGCCATTTGCAGCAGTCAAGTCATGCTTGTTATTAATCACTTCCACTGAGAAGTTAATTAGTGCCTTAATTAGGATCATCTTTGAGAAGTAGGCAGCATCATCCAGAGTCCGCTCCAAGTTATTGGCTAGCTCCAGCAAGCCCTTCTGGTCCTATGAAAACAGGCTGAGGAGGAACCTGTTCTGCTTCTAATTGTTTTTTTGTCCTCCTTAAAGAAAGCTGTGGAAGATCATCAGTTGTCTGTGATGCATCCATGTACTATCATACCTGCAAAAATCAGGAGACATATCTGCTTATAATGGATCAATCAGAAAACCAAGATGGGTTATTGAATTCTTGAGATTGTGCTTAACAAGCAGGAAACATGTTGCTGCTGTTCTTTGCAAGTGTTGAAAATTAGACCATGCATTCTGAATATGACAGAATATTTCACTTTTCTGCTGAAAGTTAAAGTACTTTCCTTCTGGCATTACTGTTTTTTAACATATATTTTTGAAATATTGCCATATTGTTACAGGATGAAATCAGTACTCCATTTTCTTTCTCTTTATCCCTCCAGGAAAATATGGGAAAATGAAGCAAAAGTAACATCTTATCACCTTATTTTCATATAAAAGTAGAAATTGAGTTGAGAATAAAAGGGACAGTCAGGTTACTCCAAAAACAGTACTCCTCCAGACATTTTGGGGGGACTCTTACGTTTGCAACGATAAAATAAAAATAAATGCACTAATGGCTTCTATTATGAGGAAAGGGCAATCCCTTGAGTCCAGTTCCCAAAGGAGGACAGGCATTGTGAAATGGATCTACATTACATGAGCATATTTGCTTCATTTTCTTCGACTTCTGGGCATTTAAATGATTTAGGTAAATTGTGAACTTTGCGAAAGGCTCAGTTGAAATGTTTTGTATCCAACAGATTTGCTGCTGCTTCCAGGAGAAGTGGAGCAGGATGTAAGCACCAGCATTCCTTCCTGTATCCCTTTTGTGGCCCAGCCTCCTACCTGTGAAGTGAAGCCAAAGCCCAGTGTTAAAAGAATGGACAAACAGACGGAAGAGGTACTCCACAGGGAATTCAGTCATTCTCCACACTGCCTTGATTTTGTAATTCATCCCTTCAAAGAAATGCTGCATGCTTCTGTATTTTTCTAACATTTGGGAAAATATAAAATTCAAGTTGCTTAATTGGTCCCTCTCACAGCCATCTATCTCAAATGCATACATTTCTTTTTAAACACATAGAGCAATTATGTTTTTATGTGGAAACCATTTTTGTTTTACAGTGTATGCCATGCCACAGATCAGTGCTACCCAAGGACTACACAATAGAAAGGACGGACAGTTTTCTTGCCCTTTTTAGTTTGAACTGGCCGTTTTTATTATTACTGATAAGGTTCTATAAACTTTTGAATTAGTTGAGGTAAGGCCAGGCTGCTATAACAGAGAATCCTAATAATAATTCAATGGCTGAAAAGAGATAGATGTTTATTTCTCTTATTTACAGCCTATATAGAGCCCTTAAAATGAGCAGGTGGCTCCTTTTTGGGGGGTCATCAGGGACCCAGGTTCCTTCTTTCTGGATGTCCATTATATTTTAGGACATTGTCCTCACCTGCGTGTTCCAGGTCAGGTCATCATCGTACCTGGAGGGGAGGAGAGAAGAACATGGGGGCAGCATGTTTCCCCAAGGCTTAGGACTCAGGGTCCTTAATGTCGGCTCACATTCCATTGGTGACCACTTAGTCACATGTTCATACTGGCCACAGGGGAGGCTGAGAAATGTCACCTAGAGATGAAAATGGAATCTATGCCATATATTTACTCTTGCAAATGTGCAACTTGAAAGTCATCTTTAGCTATCATTTTGCAGCTCTTCTACATATGCTTAATAAACATGTATCAATAGAGACTGTTGCTAGTGCTGGTAGTGACCTTTCTCACCCTCCTTACTGGAACACAAAGCAGGATCAGGCACAAGAAGTTGTTAAGGGCTCTTTATTATTGCTTTCTAACAAAATCCTTAGGGTCTTTTTGGATTATTTAATCATGAGGTACTAGTCTTGTTACTAAAAGATATTCTGTTATAGAATTAGCCATTCAGTCATAAATAATCCACACATTTCAGTTTTAAATTGCCACTTTCTAATAAGTACTTTTGTTCACTGACATCATGAAAGTATATCCAGGATGCGTGCAGGCTTATATTAAACTCCCAAATTGATTACTGGCTAAACTGGTAGGGACAGCCACTTTTCAATATGCTTTTTGAATTATAGATTGCTTTCTCTGAGTTGTAAAAAGCTAAAATTATAAGACTATTTCTAGAAGGACTCAATTTCTTTTTTAAGATTTGTTCATGCTGTTGACTTCACTTGTGGCCATAAAAGTTATTGGACCAGCCAGTAGACATGGCACCTAGTACTTTTATAGAAATACAATTTTATTTCAGTACAATTTGAGAATATATATAATCTAGTACAATTATAGAAATTGTTACAAAGTGGTTTTAATTAATGGGTTAAAAAAACTGAATGATTTCTGGAATCTATCAAATAGCAGTATAAATCAAGTTGAGACCCCATATATGGTGGTATATTTAAGAGGAATATAAATTTCCTACCAGACATGTGGACATTTTAAAATGTTGGAATCAAAATGATACAAGCCACAGATGAACAACTTCTGCTGTTTTTTGAATATCTGAAGTAACATCTTGGTTGGGAATTTTTATTTCTAATTACTATTTTTTAGAGTAACTTTTCACAACCGTCTAGAATCACAATACAGGTTGAACATTCCTAATGGGAAAATCCAAAATGCTCCAAAATTTGAAACTTTTTGAGGGCTGACATGATGCTCAAAGGCAATGCTCATTGGAGCATTATGGATTTCAGATTTGGGGATTAGGGATGCTCAACTCGTATATATTCTGCAACCCTTCCAAAATCTGAAATCCAAAACACTTCATCCCAAGCATTTTGGAGAAGAGATATTCAACCTGTACTGTACCAACACTGCCTTGGTTTGATAACATTCATCTTAAAGCACCCAGTGCTAGTAAAAGAACATAATCATTAGTTTATAGCAAATGGGTCCTGAAGGGCTTACTGAAAGGCCATTTTGGGATTAGAGATGATGGTTTCTTTCTGTGATTTCAATCTGAAAAGCTGAAAATGTATTCTGGATGTCCTTCCTAACTTTCTCTTAATTGCCTATTAAGATTCCATCAACTTTCTGATATGAATTGGACCAACTCAATGTTTTACCTAATTTTGTTTTTTTTAATTTTTAAATTAACATATAATAATTGTATGTATTTATGGGGTATAGTGTGATATTTTGGTACTATATATGTGTATGATCAAATCAGGGTAATTAGCATATCCATCACTTCAAACATTTAACATTTATTTGGTTCAGATTTTTTCCCTAATTTTACCACTGGTTCTTTTTTTTTTTTCCAAAAAAAAAATATATTTTTATTATACTTTAAGTTCTAGGGTACATGTGCACAACGTGCAGGTTTGTTACATATGTATACATGTGCCATGTTGGTGTGTTGCACCAACATTTACATTAGGCATATCTCCTAATACTATCCCTCCCCCCTTCCCCCACCCCACAACAGGCCCTGGTGTGTGATGTTCCCCTTCCTGTGTCCAAGTGTTCTCATTGTTCAATTCCCACGTATGAGTGAGAACATGCGGTGTTTGGTTTTTTGTCCTTGCGATAGTTTGCTGAGAATGATGGTTTCCAGCTTCATCCATGTCCCTGCAAAGGACATGAACTCATCATTTTTTATGGCTCCATAGTATTCCATGGTGTATATGTGCCGCATTTTCTTAATCCAGTCTATCATTGATGGACATTTGGGCTGGTTCCAACAATTTGCTATTGTGAATAATGCCGCAATAAACATACGTGTGCATGTGTCTTTATAGCAGCATGATTTATAATCCTTTGGGTATATACCCAGTAATGGGATGGCTGGGTCAAATGGTATTTCTAGTTCTAGATTGCTGAGGAGTCGCCACACTGTCTTCCACAATGGTTGAACTAGTTTACAGTCCCACCAACAGTGTAAAAGTGTTCCTGTTTCTCCACATCCTCTCCAGCATCTGTTGTTTCCTGACTTTTTAATGATCACCATTCTAACTGGTGTGAGATGGTATCTCATTGTGGTTTTGATTTGCATTTCTCTGATGGCCAGTGATAATGAGCAGTTTTTCATGTGTCTGTTGGCTGCATAAATGTCTTCTTTTGAGAAGTGTCTGTTCATGTCCTTCACCCACTTTTTGATGGGGTTGTTTTTTTCTTGTAAATTTGTTTAAGTTCTTTGCAGATTCTAGATATTAGCCCTTTGTCAGATGAGTAGATTGCAAAAATTTTCTCCCATTCTGTAGGTTGCCTGTTCACTCTGAGGGTAGTTTCTTTTGCTGTGCAGAAGCTCTTTAGTTTAATTAGATCCCATTTGTCAATTTTGGCTTTGGTTGCCATTGCTTTTGGTGTTTTAGACATGAAGTCCTTGCCCATGCCTATGTCCTGAATGGTAATGCCTAGGTTTTCTTCTAGGGTTTTTATGGTTTTAGGTCTAACATTTAAATCTTTAATCCATCTTGAATTAATTTTTGAGTAAGGTGTAAGGAAGGGATCCTGTTTCAGCTTTCTACATATGGCTAGCCAGTTTTCCCAGCACCATTTATTTAATAGGGAATCCTTTCCCCATCTCTTGTTTTTGTCAGGTTTGTCAAAGATGAGATGGTTGTAGATGTGTGGTATTATTTCTGAGGGCTCTGTTCTGTTCCTTTGGTCTATATCTCTGGTTTGGTACCAGTACTATGCTGTTTTGGTTACTGTAGCCTTGTAGTATAGTTTGAAGTCAGGTAGCGTGATGCCTCCAGCTTTGTTCTTTGGCTTAGGATTGTCTTGGCAATGCAGGCTCTTTTTTGGTTCCATATGAACTTTAAAGTAGTTTTTTCCAATTCTGTGAAGAAAGTCATTGGTAGCTTGATGGGGATGGCATTGAATCTATAAGTTACCTTGAGCAGTATGACCATTTTCATGATATTGATTCTTCCTATCCATGAACATGGAATGGTCTTCCATTTGTTTGTGTTCTCTTTTATTTCGTTGAGCAGTGGTTTGTAGTTCTCCTTGAAGAGGTCCTTCACGTCCCTTGTAAGTTGGATTCCTAAGTATTTTATTCTCTTTGAAGCAATTGTGAATGGGAGTTCACACATGATTTGGCTCTCTGTTTGTCTGTTATTGGTGTATAAGAATGCTTCTGATTTTTGCACATTGATTTTGTATCCTGAGACTTTGCTGCAGTTGCTTATCAGCTTAAGGAGATTTTGGGCTGAGACGATGGGGTTTTCTAGATAGACAATCATATCATCTGCAAACAGGGACAATTTGACTTCCTCTTTTCCTAATTGAATACCCTTTATTTCTTTCTCCTGCCTGATTGCCCTGGCCAGAACTTCCAACACTATGTTGAATAGGAGTGGTGAAAGAGGGCATCCCTATCTTGTGCCAGTTTTCAAAGGGAACGCTTCCAGTTTTTGCCCACTCAGTATGATATTGGCTGTGGGTTTGTCATAAGTAACTCTTATTATTTTGAGATACATCCCATCAATACTTAATGTATTGAGAGTTTTTAGCATGAAGGGCTGTTGAATTTTGTCAAAGGCCTTTTCTGCATCTATTGAGATAATCATGATTTTACCACTGGTTCTACACACATACATAATTGTATATAGAATTATGTGTATAGAATTACCTTGCCTTAGTTACTTTATTTTGATGAACTTTGGAAGTTTGAAGCTGCTTCAAGCTGCTTTGTTCTGTAGACAGAACAAAGAGAGTTGTTATTAGGAGGATGAAAATTTGTGATACCCACCCTCTCCCCGTGAAAACTGTAGGAGAGGTCATAGAAGAAACTTGTGTGGTATTTTAATAGGAGCTCTCCTGTTTTTCCAATTCATAATAGGACTCTAAAAATTTTCACCTATAAAGACAGTTTATTTACCATATTACTTTGTATAGTAGCCTACAGCTAAATGCTGCCATTATTGATGTAAGCATTAGTTCTATTTTCTTTAGTTTGCCTATGTGGTACTATGAATGAAAACAATCTCTCCATCAACAGTGTCTCTGTTAGAATAAGTCACATGAGAAATTTTAAGGGGACTCAAAGTTTTCCAATAGTGTACAAATTTTATTCCCTGAGAGGCTACAAAAAAGTTTCAATTAGATTTGAAATTAGACACCTGAAATCCACATATTTCTTTCAGCTCCTTAGGCAAAAATAACAAGTTAATAACTTAATTCATGGTTGTTTTTGTTTAGCAGCAGGGGACTTGGTGTTCCATTGCACAAAGTCTTTACTGAAATAAATCATAATTTCAGTTTGTAATCTAAAAACCTTGGCATCTTATAGCTTTGAACTCTAACACGAACTGAACTTGAAAGAAGAGAATTTCCAAAGTATGCCACAACAGCCAATAACTGAAATATATACATAGAAATGCAACCTTTCTGTATTTGAAAAGCTGTCATTTAGAAGACCGCAGTGATATCTTCTGAATTGCGGTATGCCCCTACCTGGGCTCACTTTGAATTACTTATGTGTCTCCTGTCTTGGAAGACTAAATTCACTCATGCATGTCATCATAAGCTTATGTAATTAACATGCAAAGTCAGAACTAGTGCCGAGCTCAGTGCCATGCATATAGTAGGCATACAGTAAACATTTATTAAATGAACACATAAATAAACAATAAACCTCACCACTAAATGGGAGTGATTTTCTGGTATACAGTAACAACGTGGTTGGGGTCATTCTGTCTTTTCTATTTGTTCATTCCCGTCAACATGTAAACGTGTTTAAGTCTTTCCTATCCTTAACAAAATGAAACAAAACAAGGAAAACAAGCTTCCCTTCATCTTGGACCCCTCTTTGGTTACTGTCTGTTCTTATGTCTCTCTTTTCATCCAGAATTGAAAAGCTATTAGACTCTTCAATATATTGTAAAATATCCTTGGCTTCAATTGCCTGCTTGGATGTTTTCAGAATGAAGGCGTCAATTGCTTTATGATTGCCAAATCCAGCGGACACTTTCCAGTCTTCCTTTTAATGGATCTCTCTACCGTGTTTGACACCATTGACCTTCCTCTGGCACTCTTGCTTCATTGGTTCTCACTTCACTTTTCTCCTGTGATTCTTTATTTTATTTTATTTTATTTTTTTATTTTTTATTATACTTTAAGTTCTAGGGTACATGTGCACAATGTGCAGGTTTGTTACACATGTATACATGTGCCATGTTGGTGTGCTGCACAGGAGCCCAAATGTCCATCAATGATCTCCTGTGATTCTTTATGTATTTCTCAAATTGTGTTTTCCCCGACTCCTTTGGGTTTTCTCTCCATCCATCCCTTATGAGTTGGTGTTCCTTTGCATTCTGTGCTTAACCTATAGTTCTTCCCAGCCTACATACTTGAATCCGTCTTCATCTCCAAATTGGTATCTCTAGCTTCACACCTTTTTTTTCAGTTTCAAGTTTGTATATTCAATTCATCTAGATTCCTTCAGGTACATTCAGATTGAACTCTGCTTATCTTTACCTGCTTCCCTTTCTGCATTCTTCCTTTTTTTTACATTTCCATATCCAGTCACTTATCGAGTGCTGCCAATTTCACTTTCTACGGATTTTTCAAATCTCTGCTACCAGTCCCCTGTTCTCATGATCTCTTACTGAACCGCTTTAGCAGGTTCCTGAGTACTCTTCTGGCTCCAGGCTTATCCCACTCAAATCTACCTTCTGTTTAACCTTCATAGTGACCTGTCTCATATAATTTCCAACAGGGCAGGGCATTTTTTTTCTTCTTTTTTACTCCAGCACCTGTCTCATTGTAGGTACTTAATAAAAATTTAATGGATGAAGGAATTTATCTGAAATGCATAGATGACCAAATGTTTTCCCTGCTTTCAAAAAATTCTTCAGTGACTTTTCATCATCTCTAGGATGATTTGGCACCATATTTGTCTCTTGCTACTCTCCGACTTACACTTTGTGCTCTGACAATGCTCACCTACTTTCAGACTCACAAATATGAAATTCTGCATCTTATTTCCATGGTCTGCTCATGGAAACTCCCCGTCAGCAAAGCTCTCCTTTGTCAACTTGTAAACTAATGTTTACCCTTTAAGAGTCAGCTCAGATATCACCTGTTCCAAGACGCCTTCTCTGATTCCTTCCCAATCCCCTCCAACTTAGTCTGGGTCAGGTATTCCTTCTGTGTTCCCATCACCCTGTTCTTACCACATTTTACTCTAATGATTTGTTTATGTGTTTATCTCATTGTTTGTGATTTCATATAGGTCTTCATCTTTGTATCCCCAGCACCTAACACAGTGACTAGAATTTAATAGGAATATAGAGTTTGTGGAAAGAATGTAAAATATCTCAATGATTGCAGGAGGCTATTCCTCTGACATTTCGACTCAGGGATGTACTGGCCACATTACAGTATATCTCCAAAATGGTTTAGAGTGTCCTGAATGTCATGTTTTGGCATTGCAAATGTGACGTTATTACTATTTTTTATTTCTTGCTTTAGTATCTCAGTATCTAACTGATTGCCTAGAAAATCTAATAGCTGCTGTTGATAACCCTTAATTTCTTAGTGAAGAAATTTATATTTTTAATTATATTTTTATACATTGAAGGATATTATAAATGAATAATCTTTGTGTTAACATTATCTTTACTGACTTGCTGAAAACTTTATTCCATGTTATTGTTATGGTTAGTACCAAGTGACTGATGAAGAAAATCATCCTCCATGACAGAGAAGAATGTAAATGTATTTAAAAAAAACTTAAAGGAAAATAAGATGTTTCTATTTTTAAGAATAAATTTCTACATCTCTAGTACCATAAGTTTGGATATTATAGCCACAAGGTAGTTTGAGACCTCAGGGAAGGGAGAATCTTAAGAAGGCAATGGGTTGGGCCGTATCTATAACCAACTTGGCCGTGGGAGCCCTGATCAGAGTTTAGAAGTAAGTCCGAAATACAGGCCTTACTTTATCTGGGTTGCTAGGATGAGGTAGGTAATAAGTGAAGTGATGTGTGGGGAGGCTAGTAGGATTTTCTGGAGACTGGCAAAACTCAATCAAGAGTAAGAGGCCAGGTACAGTGGCTCATGCCTGTAATCCCAGCACTCTGGGAGGCTGCAGTGGGTGGATCACTTGAGGCCAGGAGTTTGAAACCAGCCTGGCCGACATGGCGAAACCCTATCTCTACTAAAAATACAAAAATTAGCCAGGCCTGGTGGTATGCACCAGTTGTCCCAGCTACTCAGGAGGCTGAGGCAGGAGAATTGCTTGAACCTGGGAGGCGGAGGTTGCAGTGAGCTGAGATCATGCCACTGCACTCCTGCCTGGGTGACAGAGGGAGTCTCTGTTTAAAAAAAAAAATAGAAGAGTAAGTGAAGCTTCTGCACTTTCCTCTCTATGCTTCTGTTTCCCTTTTTTGCATTCCTCTATTGGAGAGCAAAGCACGTGATACTGAAATCATTCCTATACTTTTGTCTTCTCCTTGAAGTTATGAAACCTTGTAGACACAGATTTTGCTATAATCACTTTATGTTCCCAGAATCTGCTATATAATAAATGTTTATTGAGTGAACAAGTAAAGGTAAGGGAGGTGGGGATTGAGGTTATTTGTGTTCTGTAGAGGGAGTCGGGGGCATGGTATGGTGTCACTGAGATTTTAACACAGCAAACGGATTTGTCTAATTTGAAATTGTATTCTAACCCCTAAGTGAGAGGTGGGTGAAGACAAAGTGACTGCATCTAGTGAGGATGGCTAGTAAGGTGTAGGCAGGTTTTAGAGGCTTGAAGGTAGAATTTAAAGACCTAGTATAGGGGACACATGCAGGTATAGGCAGCTTGAAGCTTAATAGACATGTGATGAAAGGCCTTTACCCAGGCATGAAAGGGCAGCAAAATTCCCATCAGACTGAATATATTGGTGGAAACAGGTTCTCCTCCTTATGTTTTGCCAGGATCAGCTAGAATCGGCTCCAGATGGTGTTGTAGCCAAGCCTGCAGGCCTCAGTACTTACTGCTGAGTAGAGCTGGAGACAGCAAGAACAGTTAACATTCAGGAAATGAACATCTTGTGTCATTGTGTGTGTGTGTTTCTGCATTTGAGCCATCTAAGCAAGATTGTCCCACTGTCACTTTGGCTGTGTTGATGATAAATTTGATCTCAGACAGTGATCAAAATGGACTGATCAGCCTTGCAGGCTGATTTGCTTTTTGTGTACAGCTGGGTTTTAAGATAGTCATGGTATTACATGTAGCCTTGAGTACAGTTTTCTAATGGTAGGCTGTGAGAATGGATCATCTTATTTAGAAAAGGTCTTCTCTCCAAAGGCTGTGACTTGGCTTAGTGGAAACTTCAAGGTTGATTCTTGCTGGTGTTTCTGTTGAGCAGGTGAGGCTTTATTTGAAGCAGATTACCCTGGATCCAAATATTGCTTCTCTCCCTTACTAACTGTGTATTTTGGGCAAGTTACTTAACCTTTCAGAGCTTTATAAGGTAGGGGTAACAGTGACTACCAGCAGGGTTGCTTGAATATCACTGCTGATGCCACGTGGTTCCTAGTATCAGGGCTGACACATGGTGGAAACTCACCGTGGCAAACTCACCATGGAAACCCAGTGGCAGTTTTGTCAGGAAAGCACTAAGGTCCTTTCTGATAAACAGGAAATGAACGCATCTCCAGAAGTTGTTCTCCTGCTGATTTTACTAACAAAAGATGATAAATGGCTGAGCGTTTGCTATTAGCACTGCACACCTAACTTCAAAACATAACTTGTGGAACAGATAGGAGATAACTACTCATTATTTTTTCTTTCACCTTTAGTAACAGCAGATAGTTTCTGAGCTACATGCTACATTTTTACGAACATTGCATAAGCCACTCAATGAGATCATCTTCCATGCAAGAATATTTAAAGCTGATTATAGCTTCGGGACATTTTTTCATTCTTGCATAAACCATAGTTTTCAATTATTTCAGCATCACTATGCATATTGTGGAGCTACATAGAAGTACTGGATGATTTCATTGTATCACACACCATTTGTTTTTGGAGAGGCTTTTTAGGGGGCGATACAAGAGATTTAAGGCATACTCTTGGTTTATTGGAAAATATGCTTTTTTATCTGCCTTCCTTTAGGAAGTCTTTAAAACTCACAAATTATGAATAGATTCAAAATTATTACATCTCTTTGTAACTACTTTACTTATAGATAAACTGTAATATTTTTAAATTCTTGGTAGAAACAAAGAGATCCTGGACTTTTAAATTTAAAATATGTTTCAAGTTTTACTGTTATTAGCCAAGAGTTATAGGTATTATCTGAAGAAGTATATTCAATGTAGGGTATTTTTATCTTTAAAAAGTAAGTTTTATTAATATAGATCTTTTTTAGCAAATGGTGAAAATCTATTTAAGGTTGATAAAAAAATCTTAGTGTATATTTTTCTCACATTTTAATATAACTGTTGGTTTTTCTGTATGCTTCTGTAGTCCTGACACTACAAGTGGTAAAATGTATAATGAGTATATGCAAGGGAGACTTTCTGATTCTTGCCTTGGGCAGCATTAGTTAATGATATTCATTCAGATAGAGCATGGTACAAATGGAGCATATTAAGAGGCTTAAATTAGGTCAAATTGAATAATTAAATTTATTTCTTTACTTAAAAACAGCTTAATCAGCTGAGAGTGCTGAAGTCTGAAAAAAGGTTTAATTAAATATTAATAGGGAGTTAATTTTTCAACTTTATCTTCATTTACAATGATTGTGTATGTTTTTTCCTCCTTTGTTACCTTTTATAGATACTTGGAGATGAAGTTCAACTTTTTTCACTTGATGAAGAATTTGATTATGACAATGTGATGCTAACCTCCAAGTTTAGTCCTGCAGAGATAGAGAACATCAAAGAGCTATGCAAGCAGCAGAAGAGAAAGGACACCAGCCCAGACTTAGAGAAATCCTGTGACTGATTCACAGAGGCATTTTGTGTGTGTGTGCTTATTTTAATTTTGTTCTTATTCTAGCAACATTAGAATAAAAGATAAACCTACTATAATTCCCTTTGTGGAAATTTACATGTGTGCACTCATTTATCAGAGTTACCTGTTATTAGGGATATAGAGCAACAAGGCCAAGGAGATTGCCGCCCTTACAGAATTCTCTCTCGCCATGTCATTGTTGCATCTTGTGGCTGGTTGGAGGAGATGGGAGTGGGAAATGGGAACAGGAATCAGCATCTATGGAAAGATCCATTTTGATGAAAGCATTGCACTAAGTGATGTGGGGTGCTGTATCAAAGGTCAGAAACATGATCCCACTTTCTTGAGAGTAAAGAACAATTGCAGATGAAAACACATTGTAGCATATTAGAGAAAAATTGCCAATATGAGTAGGTCTGGGTCCTAGCTGTCCAGAGATAGTGCTATCAATGTGAGTGTTGTTGAGAGATTAGGCTTCTGGAATTGATTGGGAAAGGCTTTACTTAAAAAAGTCATCTGAGAATTGATGATATGTCACATATTAAATTCTTGCATTTCATTATTACCATTAAACCATGTGTGATAACGGTTACAAAATACAAGGAAGATCTCTATCTCCAGAAGCTTAAAATACAACTTGAGAAGGCAAAACAACTAGAGAATATAAAAACACATGATGAAGCGCTAATTATGTAGCATACCCATACATGCATTAAGGCAAGGAGAAAAGAGGGATGAAGGCCCAGAGGAAGGGGGAGTAATATGTTTCAATGAATTTTTATTATTGAAGGAATTACTAACAAATTGAATGTACTTAACTGATTTTCTTTTCTCTTTCTTTTAAGCACACTTTGTTTTTCAGAGCAGTTTTATGTTCACAGAAAAATTGAGGAAGACAGCATCGTTTTCATGCACCCCCTGCGTCTCCCCAACTTAGACTTCCTTACTATCAATATCCCACACCAGAGTTGTTTTTTTTGTTGTTTTATTTTTTGCGATTAGTTTTCTTTTTGTGTGTGTGTGTGTGTGTGTGGTAAGAACTTCACATGAGCTCTACTCTCTTCAATGTTTAAGTGTACAATACAGTCTTGTTACCTATATGCACAGTGTTGTGCAGCAGATCTCTGGAATGTATTCATGTATAACTGAAACTATACCCACGGAACAGCAACTCTCCATTTCCCCCTTCCCCTAAACCCTGGCAACCTCCATCCTACTTTCTGCTTCTATGAGTTTGACTTTATAGATAGCTCATATAAGTGGACATGGGGTATTTGTCCTTCTGTGATTGACTTATTTCACTTAGCATAATGCCCTTCAGGTTTGCCCATGTTGTCGCATATAGCAGGATTTCCTTCTTTTTTTAAGGCTGAGTAGTATTCCATTTTATGTATACACTACATTTTCTTTATCCATCCATCAATGAACATTTAGGTTGTTTCCATATCTTGGCTATTGTGAATAATGCTGCAGGCCTGTGCTTGTATGCACGTACTTGTGCTTGTGTGTATGAGGAATTGTGTGTGTGTGTGTTTTGAGTGTGTATATGTATTCATAAAAACACCGTTTATATTTTTTACAAAAGAATGCTCTTGATTTCATGTTGCCCTAGAGTCAAGTGTCTGCCACATTTATTTTTACTTATTCAACAAACTTTCATAAAGCTCCATTTGTGTGTTCAAGCTTTATGCTAGGCAGTGGGGAGGATACAGGCAAGTTAGACATGGTCCAATTAAGTACGGAAGAGAGATGTATACACAAATAATTACAAGCTATATTGTCCAATATAATAGCCACTAGCTGCATTCTAGTACACTAGAGTACTTGAAATATAGTGACTGAGAAAGTTTCAGCTGTTATTTAATTTTTATTTCAATTTAAAATAGAAAACTGATATTTGATTCAGTTATTAGAAAACTTTCAAGTACATTTAGAACAATTTGGGTATGTGAATCTACTTTTTCAATTATACATTTTATGAAATGTAAATGCAGATCAGTTATTTTGGAAAACAGCTTAGTGTATTAGAGTTCTCTAGAGGGACAGAACTAATAAGATACATACATATATATATATATATGAAGGGAAGCTTATTAGGAGAATTGACTCTTACAATCACAAGGTGAAGTCTCACAATAGACCGTCTGCAAGCTGAGGAGCAAGGAAGCCAGTCAGAGTCCCAGTACCTCAAAAGTAGGGAAGCCGGCAGTACAGCCTTCAGTCTGTGGCTGAAGGCCTGAGAGCCCTTGGCAAATCACTAGTGTAAGTCCAAGAGTCCAAAAGCTGAAGAACTTGGAGTCCAGTGTTTGAGGGCAGGAAGCACCCAGCACAGGAGAAAGATGAAGGCCAGATGACTCAGCAAGTCTGCTCTTCCATCTCCTGCCTGCTTTATTCTAGCCACGCTGGCAGCTGATTAGATGGTGCCCATCTAGATTGAGGATGGGTCTGTCTCTCCCAGTTCACTGACTCAAATGTGAATCTCCTTTGGCAACACCCTCACAGACACACCCAGGAATGATACTTTGCATCCTTCAATCAAGTTGACAATATTAACCATCATAGCTTAGTGTCTGAATTTAAAATATGCTGCAAGTATAAAATATGTATTGGATTTCAAAGAATTAGTAGTGAAAAAATGTGACTTTCTTGTTATATTTTTTGTATTAGTATATGTTGAAATGGTCCTATTTTTGATTAAATAGTTAAAATATATTATTAAAATCCACCAATTTCTCTTTACCTTTTTCATGAGACTACTGGGAAATTTGAAATTACACATGTGGCATGCATATTTATATTTGACAGCACTTTAGTCGACGATAATCTTAGTTGTGAGACTGGTGTATACCAAGAGCTACTGGGACAAAACATTTTGGAGTTTTTAAATTATGCTTTGGAGAACTAGGGACTCCTCACAGAGAAACTGATGTTTAAGCTTGGCTGTAAAGAATTAGTAGGAGTTTTTGAGGCAGAAAAGGGGGAAAAATATTATGGTCCAAGGGAATAATGCACAGAGGTGTAATGGAGTGTGACAAACTATTGCTTGGTTAAAGTAAAACCATAGTTTTCTAGTGTATGGGATAAACGGGATAACTGCAGGAGAGGAAGTTGGAAATGTAGGTTGGGGCCAGATTCTGCAGGCCTCGTGTGCTGTAGACTTTATTCTCTAGTTGATAGGGAGCTATTTAATGTGTTCATGCAGAGGAATAACACGATCAAAAATGTATTTCAGAACGGTAACTTCAGCGTGAATGTGAGAGGTAAAATGAATATAGGTCAATCAGGAGACAAGTTCGAAGGATAGTCTGTGTGGGTAAAAGTGGAGGGCATAGATTGGATGAGGTTTGGGAGCAGAAGCAGCGAGGATTTTTGACTAGTGCATTGTGGAAATGAGAGAGCAATTGTGGGGTTAAGACAAGATTTTAGTGTGCAATCTATGTACTCTTTGACTTGAGATAACCTTGTTATATAATTGTTCACAGGAGTGGATACTCTTTTGGCTCTCTTTATATAGCCTTTTGGTAGTTTCAATAAAACAGACTTTACTTTTTTTTAAGAGACAGAAGTTCTGTCACTCAGGCTGGCGTGCCGTGGCACAATCATAGCAGCCTCGAACTCCTGACTCCAAGCAATCTTCCCACCTCAGCCTGCTGAATAGCTAGGACTACAGGTGTGAGCCACCATGTCTGGCTATTTTTTAAAACATTTTTTTTCCCACAGAGACAGGGTCTCACTATGTTTCCCAGGCTGGTCTCTAACTCCTGGCCTCAAGTGATCCTCCTGTTTTGGCCTCCCAAAGTGCTGGGATTACAAGCGTGAACCACTGCACCCGGCCAAGACTTCATCATTTTTACAACATCTCCATTTTATGGACTTAAATAGTTTTATAATAGAAGAAACAAAACCACCTTTTTAAGTGTTTACAAAGAACTACATTTCAGTGAAGTGTTTCATTACTCAACTAGGCAGAGAAGACGGCAGGTGGAACATTTCTATCTGTAGGGTTGGTATACTATGTCTTGGCTTCATTCCTCTTGACAATTTTTGATCCCTGAATTATTTGAGGGGAAATTGTGTATTATGGTGAAAGTGACAGTGGAAAATGAGTCCCTTAAAGTCTTCGAATGAAATTGTTTTGTCTCCATCGTACCATTACCCTTGCCCTAACTAGCAAATAACTTCTTCATGACTGCCTTTCAGTCTTAGCAATCCCTTAAATTGATGGAAATGGTATGTTTTACACTGGTTGGCAAACCCTAACCAAGTAATCCTGCACTTGTAAGGATGGAAAATGTTTACCTGGATTAGGCTGTGGCAACAAAAATAAGATTAATAAAGAGTAGAATATAAGGAGAAGCATCTGGGTGTATACACCAAAATGGGAGGGAAGAACACGAAAATTTTAAAAGTACCTTTAAATAATGTGACCATTGCAACACGAACTAAATCGAAGTAGAGTAAATATCACTTCAAGCCTGTGGCACCAGTCCTGGCTTGTTCAGCATGGTGACACACTGAGAGATCTTACTACTTTCAGGATCCATCTTGTGTGGCATAGCACAAGAAGAAGAAGAAAAATTCTGCTCCAATTTTGAATTTCCTTGACTCCCTTTGTCAAGAATTCTCTTTTATATTCCTCCAAACACATACAACTATATTCTCATTTTGTTTATTTATTTATTTAGACACAAATCTCCCTCTGCAGTGGCGTGATTATAACTCACTGTAGCCTCGAACTTCTGGCCTCAAGCGATCCTCCCACTTCAGGCTCCTGAGTAGGTGGTACCACAGGTTCATGCCACCATATCGAGCTAATTTTTAATTTTTTTATAGAGACGGGGTCTCACTATGTTGCCCAGACTGGTCTCGAACTCCTGGGCTCAAGTGATCCTCCCACCTTGGCCCCCCCAGAGCACTGGGATTATAGGTGTGAGCTACTGCTCCTGGACAGTATCCTCTTTTTTTAAAAGTTCTTTTAAAAAAGAACTTTTCCCTGTGTGTTAAGTGACTGTGGTTGAATTAACATACGAAAAAGTTAAGGGAAAACATTTTCATTTCATTTGCTTGCTTCTTGGAAGTTGATGGTAAGTGAACACAGTAGCATGTGAAATGACGTGAAAGAGACCATCTTACTGAGAATTTTCTAGAAAGATATTTCTCCATATGTAAAAAAACAATCCGTCCTCCTCACCATGGCTTACCCAGCTTTATGTAATATGGCCCTTACGTGACTCTCCAATCTCATCTAGCACCATCTTCCTCATTTTTTACTGTGTTCTGGCCAGTTCGTATTATTTTTTGTTTGTTTTTCAAACACTCTGCCTTTTTTCCACCTTAGGGCTTTCATTCTTGTTTTTCCTTCTCATTGGTCTTCCCTGGTATTCATTTGGCTGGATCCTTGTTATTATTCAGGCCTTAGGTGAAATATATCTTCCCAGAATCTCTCTCTAACAGCCCTATTTAATCTTTTTCCCACAAGCCTCCATCCCTATCACTGTGCACCCTTGTTTTGTTTATTATCTGACTCTCCCTTTAGAACATGAGCTACAAGAAGGCATGAACCCAGTCTGCCTTTACATTGCAGCTGCCCCAACCCCTGAAAAGGCCCTGCAGTAAAGTAGGGGTTCAATAAATATTTACTAAATGAATCAAACCTAAAAATATAAGCTTAGCAGCTTGAAGAACTTGGAGGTCCATTTCATCAGTTCAATTTGGTTAGATGTATATTGAGCACTTTTTGTATTCAAGGCATACCTAAGTGTTTTACTTCCTAGACTGATAAAAATCTGATGGCCAGTGCAAATTTGGGAAGCCTGGCCTGTTCTACAGAACTGTTCCATGTTCAACAAGTTTCTTTCTTTTATTCATCAGAATCCCGTAGAGAATTGAGAGAAAGTTCGTTCTCATGGGAACTTTATCCACTCCTCAATTGCTCTTTTGAAACTTTGTTATGACGTCTTAAATTGAAAATCCTATTCAGGAGCAATTCATGTGGTGTAATACTGATATTAATGCAGGCATTATTAAGAAATTATTTTTAGGCAGCTAGAAAGGGTGAAAGTTCTCAGTGGAATTTTTTTTTTTTTAATAAAAAGCGATCCCCGAAACATTTCTTTTCTAACAAAAAGTGTCTTGAAAAACCAGACCTACAAGCATTGATATGCCAATGCCAGCAGCTAAAAGCCAGGTCCACCCAATATGGCATCTCCCACCCTCTTTTCCTTGTTACCATGTGTGCCAGATGTCATGGCAGCCTCCAGATAAAACCACGTGTACTGGCATCATGGCCGCCACCAGATGGAGGCCGCATTTGTATAATAAAAGATAGGGTGGGAGGGCCAGTCTTTTCACGGGCTAAGTAAATGGCACACCTGGTCAACCCAATCCCCTGAGGCCTATGTAAATCAGTCACCGCCCCCTCAACTTTCTGTACAAACCAATTGCAGTCCGCCACAAACGAGGCCCTCTTCCACCTGCTTTCTCAACACGAGGAAGCATTTTCTCTCTCTTTTCTTTTTCTATTAAACTTGCCGCTCCTGAACCCAATCCTCATGTGTGTCTGTGTCCTGAATTCTTTCTTGACTGAGACCAAGAGCCAGGGTATATACCCCAGACAGTGAAGCCATTTCATTTTGGGTTCTTGCCCAGAATCTGGATCAGAACAGAAGATAGACACATTGGAGTGGTGAGTATGGAATGAACCTCAAATCCATCCTTTAATCTCAAGGCTCTCTTCCAGCTATCCTGTTGCTAAATTTTCCTTTCTTTTCTATCCGCGGTTGCTACGTCTATTCTCTGTGTATGTGATGTGTGGAAATTTTTACAGTTCAGAGAAACAGGTCTGTTAGAAAAGATCGGCAAACGTGGCAGGCAGTAACTTAGTAAGCATCTCTCTCTACCATTTATCTGGTGAGCACATGGTATTTCTAAGCCAAAAAGCGCCTCCTAGTAGAAATAGAAATCCTCTTCATGAGGCATGTTGCGGGTCCTTCCTTTGCCTTACAGTGCACCTTCCTTTTGCGCCACCAGAAATCAGGCTCTAAGCCCCCTCTGTGAACAGGAAAGTTCTGCCTTCAGCAGTTAGGAGTAAAATGTCCTCCATAGCCAAATTTTAGTTCTGATGCTGTCCCAACAGCAGGAAAACGGCCATTCAGTCCCTACATTCTTTTAAGAAACTTAGTCTGTTTCCAATTAGAACAGTACTTAATTAATAAGAGGATTTTAGTTTCAGAGGTTAACGGGAACCGTTTTTCTAAGAGTAAATGCTTTAGCATGGGCCATAATAGCAGAATATAGGGTTCAATCTAGCATACCCCCCATTAAAGGGGCCTTGCCCAATTACTTAGTTTTTCTTGAGATTCATTTTTTTTAGGGAGGCACACAGGTCACACAGGTCTAGGAAGTCAAAGGGAAATCATAGGCAGAGGACTACAGCTGCTTGGAGGAGCACAGCTAGGCCCAAATCTTAGTTCCTCTGGTGCTGTGGCTTGGAGGGTCATGCCTGCAATCATGGGTGGCACATTTAACATGGTGCCATAACTTGGGAACCAAAAAGAGAAAACAGTCATGGGGATGCTCCCACTGTCTTCCCCTCCATCCTGGGTCACAAAGAAAGGAAGGAGACTAAAAGAACGCTTTTATTCTTGCTTCCCTTTCTAGATGGGTACTGTCTTCAGCCTGCACTCCCCTGAAGTGCATTCTGAGGTGCTGGGGGCATCTTTCACCCTGAGACTTTAAAGAAAAAGCAGCTCATTTTCTTTTGCATAAGGGCATGGCCTTTTTACTAGACCTTTGCAAGCATTGCAAAATCAACCCAGCTCTTTTAGCAATCATATCAGGCAGGCCCAACGAGAATAATTCCCCGAAATTAGAGAAGCAAGTTCCAGGGGAACCATCTGAGGATCCCTCTTATTTGGGACCCCTTCAAGTTCCCTTCTCATTATAGGATCTTAGACAAATAAAAGGAAACTTAGGCCAGTTTTCTGACGACCCTGTTAAATATATAGAAACCTTCCACAATTTAACTCAGGTCTATGGTGTTTTTCCTTCTTTCACAGTTTAAAATGGATCTTTTATAATGTTCTTCCAACCTGGGAAATGTTAATTTTCCAAACCTTAAAATGCTTGGCTTAGAGTTGAGCTGGGGGGAAGGGAATCCAGAAGCCTGACATTCTGGAAAAAGAGTAAAAATTTACCAGTCGAGGCTGAGCGCAGTGGCTCACGCCTGTAATCCCAGCACTTTGGGAGGCCGAGTCAGGTGGATCACGAGGTCAGGAGTTTGAGACCAGCCTGACTAACATGGTGAAACCCCGTCTGTACTAAAAATACAAAAATTAGCTGGGTGTGGTGGCAGGCACCTGTAATCCCAGCTACTCAGGAGGCTGAGGCAGGAGTATCGCTTTAACCTGGGAGGCAGACGTTGCAGTGAGCCGAGATTGCACCATTGCACTCCAGCCTCGGCAATGGAGCGAGACTCTGTCTCCAAAAAAAAAAAAAAAAAATTTACCAGTCGAGCTTTTGGCTTCCCTCTCCCTGTGCAAACTGGTAAAAAAGATCATAAAAATAATGACAAAGGATTTGTGAGGTTGATCTTAAGCTGTAGCCAATCTGGTGTGCTTTGTGTGTCTTTCTGTATGGTTCTGTCAAAAGAAAGACCATCTTAGGTTAGGATGCAGGCCCAGGACCCCATAAGGCTGCTGTTCATTGCCAGCTCAACAAAATAGTAACAAACTTGGCTACAAGCCTCCATCTTGTTTCAAGTCCTTCGGAACATGACCTGTAACCACGTAGGAATTCTTTGTTTTAGCCTCTGCCATTTTAAATGGTGGCTGTCTTCTTGTGCTAAGTCAGTTCCTGGGTGAAGGCCACAAAATCCGATAAGCCACTTTATTGATTTGGGTGGTGCCAGCTCAAGGGTAGGGCTTACAAAATATCTTAAGCACTGATCTTGAGAGCAGCTGATGGAGGATCGGAGTTTTGTAGCCTCCAGCTGCTTGGCTCCTGGGCCATGGTTTTTAATCTTGTGGCTAGTTTCTTGGTCTGGTCCCCAGGCAAGAAGGAAGTATATATGATGAAGTGGCTGTTATCATCTTTGTTTTAGACTATAAACTGTAAATCAGGCTCCTCCCAAAATTGGTTCGGCCCACTCCCAGGGATGCGCAAGGACGACTTAGGGGCTGGAAACAAAATGGAGTTGGTTGGGTTGAATCTCTTTCAGTGTCTCAGTGACAATTTTGCAATGATGGTTTCAAAAATTGCCTGTCACCCACTTTGAAGATATCTTGTACACCTGTGGTTAATCATAACCTAATTAAGGTTTGTTGGTTTCACCTGTGAGGTTACTTTTTGTAAAGTTCAAAAGCTGAAAAATCTTAACTGCTTGGCGTGGCTAAAGTAGAGTAACAAGGGATTTAAAAGGATTTTCTTAAACAGCACTCAGCTTAATCAAAAGTGGATATTCAAGTTATAGGTATATTTAAAAGGCCTTTATGGTTTTCGCTTCTTGGATCTTGTTTTTCTGGAAAAAGGTTTTTTTCTTCTCAGTCTACTGAATTATTTTTCTCCGTTTTTTGTCTTGCCACACTTAATGCATACATGAGAGGCCCTAAGATAACTTCTGGTAGCATGGGACTCCGTGGGAAAACAGAGGAGGTGCCACAGACATTGTTTTGGGAAAAAAACCTCTGTTTTCCTCATGAAACCCCAGGAATTAAAAGCAGATACTTCCCTCTCAAAATCAAAGGCTCTGTTCTGTTTTGCCTTGTGTTATCTGGCCATTTTGAGTTTTGGGGGTATCAAATTACTTCACATTAGGAGAGAGCTTTGGTGTGTAATAATTAAGTAAGAAATACACTCTTTAAAAGATGGCTCTCCCTCCTTTTGGGGATCCAAAAATCCAGCATAAAAAGGCATCCTTAATTTTCCAGATCTGTCTTTACCTGTGGCTGTGCTTGCTTATTAGTCCCTAAAGATGCATGCCATCCCGGCCCTGTTCCTCCAAGGGCTCCACCCTGAAGCCAGTAATCCAGTTATGAAAGCGTCAAATAAAAATCTTACAAGTGCTGAATCTTCTGTCTGTGTCGCTGTGTATGTGTTTTGTGTGATGTCTATAAAAAGAGCTCCAATTAATTGGCTTAAAGAAAAAATAAGCACTGAAATATTTTTTAGTTCGTGTGACTTTAATATTTAAGCTGGTACATAACTAAAATCACTTACTGGCTGGGTGCGGTGGCTCATGCCTGTAATTCCAGCACTTGGGAGGCCTAGGTAGGTGGATTGCTTGAGGTCAGGAGTTCGAGACCAGCCTGGCCAACATGGTGAAACCCTGTCTCTACTAAAATACAAAAATTAGCTGGGCATGGTGGCGGGTGCTTGTGATCCCAGCTACTAGGGAGGCTGAAGCAGGAGAATTGCTTGAACCCAGGAGGTGGAGGTTGCAGTGAGTTGAGATCGTGCCACTGCGCTCCAGCCTGGGCGACAGCAAGACTCTGTCTCAAGAAACACAACAACAATTAAAAACACTTACTAACCAGGCTTTTCACCAAAAATAAAAGTTGCTAAGAGTTAAGAGTGCAACATGTATTTGAGATCATTAAACAGTTTTACATTCAAGGCATATAAAAACAGTGAAATGTGTTTTTTAGTAAAAGATTATAAGAAAGCATGGAAATCCAAATTTTGCCCAGGAATAAGGGATTATCTTACATTTAATAAGATAAAGCTAAATGTTTAAGTAAGTTGTGGAAAGATTGTAAAAATTAATCTTGCAAAAATGTGTAAACCTAACTAAATTCAAAAGCATATTACATGGTCTTTTCATAAATTGAGCATTGAAATAAAAGCACAACAAGGGTGTCTTAAGACACTAATCTGCCCGTTAGTAAAAGAGGTTATAAAGGGCTTGTAAAGATTTCACCTCATGGTCAAATTGGTTAAGATTAGATGGAATCATCTATAAGCTTCCATTTAAAGAAATTGGGATTGATATCAGTAAATTAATGCAAGGGTAAAATTTTGCTTAAACAGGATTTTCATGTAATAATAAAGGATAATAAAAATTTTTGCTTTTTGAGTCATCGTTTTGGCAAAATAAATAATTTATGGCAATTTGGAATTCTATTTCATAACATCAAGTGTTTTAAACCTCTAACATTTAACAGGCACCCAAAAATCAAACTTTAAGTTTCAAAATTGTCTTTCCTGATGCCTGGCTTTCTGGATGGTTCAGAGGGCCCCTGAAACATTCAGAAAAGAGGTGAACAGGATTATTTGACATGTTTTGTCACATGAAATTGCCAAAACGATGTCCAATCTTCTTTAAGTTATATTTTGATGAATAATACTAACATATGTTCCAAAATTGTATGGGATTTCTAAAATTTTAATGTCTAAATATATGCTATCAATAGTAATTAGGGGTAAAGTTATAAGCCATGGAGATAACTAAATTTCTTTGTCAGTCTTTTTTTTTTTTTTTTTTTTGAGATGGAGTCTCACACTGTTGCCTAGGCTGGAGTGCAGTATCGTGATCTTGGCTCACTGCAAGCTCCACTTCCCGTGTTCATGCCATTCTCCTGTCTCAGCCTCCTGAGTAGCTGAGACTACCGGCACCCACCACCATGCCTGGCTAATTTTTTGTATTTTTAGTAGAGACGGGGTTTCACCATGTTAGCCAGGATGGTCTCGATCTCCTGACCTCGTGATCAGCCTGCCTTGGCCTCCCAAAGTGCTGGGATTACAGGCATAAGCCACCATGCCCAGCCTGTCAGTCATGTTTTTAACTGTAACTATCCTGGAAATTTTGTCATTCAAAGACCATTTTGTCTTGCTTTGTTCCTTCTTAAAAGATAGGTTATAATCAAGCTATAAAACTTGAACAGGTGTTCTCAAATGTGAGTTTTTAATAGCCTTGAAGATTGTAACATTGGAATAGAGAAAGAATGTGTGGGACTCATGAAGAACTGAAATGTTCACGAATGTCAAGCAATACAAGAGTTAACTAAATGGACTGCACTCAGAAAGTTAAAGCAACCTTTTTGACTTTTACTTGGAATGTTGCTGATCCTTGTTTTGTTTTTCAGAGTTAAGAAAACTTATTTTAAACTATTTATGGCCTTTAATAATTGAGTAAGGTATACTCCTGCAAACAAAATTTGGAGCACGTTTGTTTCTGTCTGCCTGGTTCCTCTAGAAGTTGGAAACTGCCTGTGAGTACTCTTAACTTATGGAAATATAGTTGTTTGCATCAGTGCAATAAGATCCATTTTTCTTTTTCAACAGGACACAACTGGAAAAGCTAGTTATTTTACCAAGGCTTTGACCGAAAGGGTATGCTTCCCTTTAAGAGTCTATCTTTACTTCCAGTGCCGATAAAAGCCTCTTGGGGAGAACTGGCCTCATCCCTTGTCTACACAGTCCCCGCACAGGGTTCCTAATCTGTGGTCAGTAAAGAATGTCACTTTCTAACAGGTCCAGGAGCTCCAAGTTTATCTTGGGACTCACAGGATAAAAACTCATGGCTGGGCTTTAAGAGGTCTTATCTGAGATTCCTTTTGAAACAGAGTGCCATCAAAGCCAATCCAAAAGGCTTACATAGAAATAATTATTCTTACTGTACTTTATGCAAATAATCAGGCCAAATATAAAACTAAAGTTTATTCTACAAACAACACAATACTATCATAATTTGCTTTTACCAAAAATGGGGACTAGAGAGAGAAACTATGCTCTAAAGCTTATCATTATGCTCCAAAGCTTATCATACATTTGTCATTAAATCATAGTCTCATTAATTGTTTTTCAGCTTTTTGCCTACATTTTAGACTAACCCTGCTTATTCCTGTGAATCAAGTGGTGATCTCCTGCAGCTTGGAAGAAACAAAAAGGCATAGGTAATGTGAAAATCTAGATCAATATGCTAGTTCTGGGCAATTATCCTGTAAATTCTGCCAGGTAATGAGAGTGAATAGGGTGCCCATAACTCAGAGGTTTCTTTGTTTAGGGAAATAGAACCAAGGAACTTTATAGATCCCCAAAGGGAAATTCTATATCTTAGCAAGTAAAATTTTAGATGGAAATTATCTACTTACACCACACTTGCAGGAATTGCTCTACTCACTCTACTATTTGTAGTAGAGCTATACACAGTAGCACTGTTTTTTGTTTTGTTTTGTTTTGTTTTTTTGAGGCTCAGTTTCGCTCTTGTTGCCCAGGCTGGAGTGCAATGGCGGGATCTCGGCTCACTGCAACCTCCATCTCCCGGGTTGAAGCGATTCTCTCCTGCCACAGCCTCCCTGGTAGCTGGGATTATAGGCATGCGCCATCACACCCGGCTACTTTTTTATTTTTAGTAGAGACGGGGTTTTCCCATGTTGGTCAGGCTGGTCTCGAACTCCCAACCTCAGGTGATCCGCCCACCTCGGCCTCCTAAAGTGCTGGGATTACAGGCATGAGCCACCACGCCTGGCCGGTAGCACCTTTTAATTGAAATATTGGACGGAGAGTTTCCATTGCTGCAATATTTTTTGCTTAATTATTATCCTTATAGTAGGGATAATAGCTGCCAACAAAAGGGAAGCATGAAAGTTTTACTATCACTGAGTTTGCTAGAACTTCTTATTGGGTTTGGTAATATGTCACATCCTGGTTATGCAAAGGTTATAAAGGAAAGAGATTTTCTGTGGAAGTCATGAAAGGATTGATAATTGCAGGAAAAATGTAGCCAAGGTTAACACTAAAGTTATTCTAGCCACCCAATCCAATGCCACTTTTCCTAAAAGGAATGTTACTTTTATATGAATGTTTCTGATTATGTACAGCGACATCTAGTGGAGGCAAACTGGTATTACAATCCATTGGTGTAACTAACAGGTATCAAACTCTACTGTCATAGTTATGGTCTATAGGCCCTCCATTAACAGTGGTAATCTCGATACTCATATTCTAATCCTATATTTTAAACCTCCTTGTAAAATTTATCTCTTTTCACCTAGAAGCAATCAAACCCCAAATGGTGCTGCAGACAGAGCCACACATGGACACACCATTCTTCTGAGAACACTTAGATTGACCTCAAGAGGAGGCCCAACCACTGTCCTCCAACAAGATGCCCCTTTTTAGCAGGAAGTAGCCAGAAAGAATCGTCATCCAATACCCCCTAACGGCAGTTAAGTTTATGTCTGTAGAGGGGGGAAATAATACAGGAGTTATTAAGAAATTATTTTTAGAGGTTCCGAGATGGCTGAATAGGAACAGCTACAGTCTACAGCTCCCAGCGTGAGCGACACAGAAAATGGGTGATTTCTGCATTTCCAACTGAGGTATTGGGTTCATCTCACTGGGGCTTGTCGGACAGTGGGTGCAGCCCACAGAGTGTGAGCTGAAGCAGGGTGGGACATTGCCTCACCCGGGAAGTGCAAAGGGTTGGGGAATTCCCTTTCCTAGCCAAGGGAAGCCATGACAGACAGTACCTGGAAAATTGGGACACTTCCACCTTAATACTGGGCTTTTCCAATGGTCTTAGCAGATGGCACACCAGGAGATTATATCCCATGCGTGGCTTGGAGGGTCCCACGTCCATGGAGCCTCCCCCACTGCAAGCACAGCTAACAGAGATCGAACTGCAAGGTGGAAGTGAGGTGGGGGGAGGGGCATCCACCATTGCTGAGGCTTGAGTAAGTAAACAAAGCCTCTGGGAAGCTTGAACTGGGTGGAGCCCACTGCAGCTCAAGGAGGCCTGGTGTGCCTCTGTAGACTCCACCTCTGCGGGCAGGGCATAGCTGAACAAAAGGCAGCAGAAACTTCTGCAGACTTAAACGTCCCTGTCTGACAGCTTTGAAGAGAGTAGTGGTTCTCCCAGCATGGAGTTTGATATCTGAGAACGGACAGACCGCCTCCTCAAGTTGGTCCCTGACCCTTGAGTAGCCTAACTGGGAAACACCTCCCAGTAGGGGGCCGACTGACATCTCATACAGCCGGGTGCCCCTCTGAGATGAAGCTTCCAGAGGAACGATCAGGCAGCAACATTTGCCGTTCTGCAATATTTACTGTTCTGCCACCTCCACTGGTGATACCCAGGCAAAACTGGACTTCCAGCAAATTCCAACAGACCTGCAGCTGAGGGTTCTGACTGTTAGAAGGAAAACTAATAAACAGAAAGGACATCCACACCAAAACCCCATCTGTACATCACCATCATCAAAGACCAAAGGTAGATAAAAACACAAAGATGGGGAGAAACCAGAGCAGAAAAGCGGAAAATTCTAAAAATCAGAGAGTCTCTCTCTCCTCCTCCAAAGGAATGCAGCTCCTCGCCAGCAACAGAACAAAGTTGGATAGAGAATGACTTTGACGAGTTAAGAGAAGAAGGCTTCAGATAATCGGTAATAACAAACTTCTCCAAGCTAAAGAAGGGTGTTCAAACCCATCGTAAAGAAGCTAAAAACCTTGAAAAAAGATTAGACGAATGGCTAACTAGAATAAACAGCATAGAGAAGGCCTTAAATGACCTGATGGAGCTAAAAACCATGGCACGAGAACTACATGACACATGCACAAGCTTCAGTAGCTGATTCAATCAAGTGGAAGAAAAGGTATCAGTGACTGAAGATCAAATGAATGAAATGAAGTGAGAAGAGAAGTTTAGAGAAAAAAGAGTAAAAAGAAATGAACAAAGTCTCGAAGAAATATGGGACTATGTCAAAAGACCAAATCTACGTCTGATTGGTGTACCTGAAAATGACGGGGAGAATGGAACCAAGCTGGAAAACACTCTTCAGGATATTATCCAGGAGAACTTCCCCAGCCTAGCAAGGCAGGCCAACATTCAAATTCAGGACATACAGAAAACGCCACAGAGATACTCCTCAAGAAGAGCAACTCCAAGACACATAATTGTCAGATTCACCAAAGTTGAAATGAAGGAAAAAATGTTAAGGGCAGCCAGAGAGAAAGGTGGGGTTACCCACAAAGGGAAGCCCATCAGACTAACAGCGGATCTTTCAGCAGAAACTATACAAGCCAGAAGAGAGTGGGGGCCAATACTCAACATTCTTAAAGAAAAGAATTTTCAACCCAGAATTTCATATCCAGCCAAACTAAGCTTCATAAGTCAAGGAGAAATACAATCCTTTACAGACCAGCAAATGCTGACAGATTTTGTCACCAACAGGCCTGCCTTACAAGAGCTCCTGAAGGAAGCACTCAACATGGAAAGGAACAACTGGTACCAGCCACTGCAAAAACATGCCAAATTGTAAAGACCATTGATTCTAGGAAGAAACTGCATCAACTAATGAGCAAAATAACCAGCTAACATCATAATGACAGGATCAAATTCACACATAACAATATTAACCTTACATGTAAATGGGTTAAATGCTCCAATTAAAAGACACAGACTGGCAAATTGGATAAAGAATCAAGACCCATCAGTGTGCTGTATTCAGGAGACCCATCTCACGTGAAGAGACACACATAGGCTTAAACTAAAGGGATGGAGGAAGATCTACCAAGCAAATGGAAAACAAAAAAGAGCAGGGGTTGCAATCCTAGTCTCTGATAAAACAGACTTTAAACCAACAAAGATCAAAAGAGACAAAGAAGGCCATTACATAATGGTAAAGGGATCAATTCAACAAGAAGAGCTAACTATCCTAAATATATATGCACCCATTACAGGAGCACCCAGATTCATAAAGCAAGTCCTTGGAGACCTACAAAGAGACTTAGACTCCCACACAATAATAATGGGAGACTTTAACACCCCCACTGTCAACATTAGACAGATCAACGAGACAGAAAGTTAACAAGGATATCCAGGACTTGAACTCAGCTCTACACCAAGCGGACCCAATGGACAGCTACAGAACTCTCCACCACAAATCAACAGAATATACATTCTTTTCAGCACCACATCGTACTTTTTCCAAAATTGACCACATAGTTGGTAGTAAAGCACTCCTCAGCAAATGTGAAAGAACAGAAATTATAAAAAACTGTCTCTCAGACCACAGTGCAATCAAACTAGAACTCAGGATTAAGAAACTCACTCAAAACCACTCAACTACATGGAAACTGAACAACCTGCTCCTGAATGACTACAGGGTACATAACGAAATGAAGGCAGAAATAAAGATGTTCTTTGAAACCAATGAGAACAAACACACAACATACCAGAATCGCTGGGACACATTTTTTTTTTTTTTTTTTTTTTTTTTTTTTTTGAGACGGAGTCTCGCTCTGTCGCCCAGGCCAGACTGCGGACTGCAGTGGCGCAATCTCGGCTCACTGCAAGCTCCGCTTCCCCGGGTTCACGCCATTCTCCTGCCTCAGCCTCCCGAGTAGCTGGGACTACAGGCGCCCGCCACCGCGCCCGGCTAATTTTTTGTATTTTTAGTAGAGACGGGGTTTCACCTTGTTAGCCAGGATGGTCTCGATCTCCTGACCTCATGATCCACCCGCCTCGGCCTCCCAAAGTGCTGGGATTACAGGCATGAGCCACCGCGCCCGGCCTGGGACACATTTAAAGCAGTGTGTAGAGGGAAATTTATAGCACTAAATGCCCACAAGAGAAAGCAGGAAAGATCTAAAACTGACACCCTAACACCACAATTAAAAGAACTAGAGAAGCAAGAGCAAACACATTCAAAAGCTAGCAGAAGGCAAGAAATAACTAAGATCAGAGCAGAACTGAAGGAGATAGAGACACAAAAAACCCTTCAAAATATCAATGAATCCAGGAGCTGATTTTTTGAAAAAATCAACAAAATTGATAGACTGCTAGCAAGACTAATAAAGAAGAAAAGAGAGAAGAATCAAATAGATGCAATAAAAAAATGATAAAGGGGATATAACCACCAATCCCACAGAAATACAAACTACCATCAGAGAATACTATAAACACCTCTACGCAAATAAACTAGAAAATCTAGAAGAAATGGATAAATTCCTGGACACATATACCCTCCCAAGACTAAACCAGGAAGAAGTTGAATCCTTGAATAGATCAATAACAGGCTCTGAAATTGAGGAAATAATTAATAGCTTACCAACCACAAAAAGTCCAGGACCAGATGGATTCACAGCCGAATTCTACCAGAGGTACAAGGAGGAACAGGTACCATTCCTTCTGAAACTATCCCAATCAATAGAAAAAGAGGGAATCCTCCCTAGCTCATTTTATGAGGCCAACATCATCCTGATACCAAAGCCTGATAGAGTCACAACAAAAAAAGAGAATTTTAGACCAATATCCCTGATGAACATCGACGCAAAAATCCTCAGTAAAATACTGGTAAACCAAATCCAGCAGCACATCAAAACGTTTATCCACCATGATCAGTGGGCTTCATCCCTGGGATGCAAGGCTGGTCCAACATACGCAAATCAATAAACACAATCCATCATATAAACAGAACCAACGAGAAAAACCACATGATTATCTCAATAGATGCATAAAAGGCCTTTGACAAAATTCAGCAGCCCTTCATGCTAAAAACTCTCAATAAATTAGGTATTAATGGGACGTATCTCAAAATAATAAGAGCTATTTATGACAAACCCACAGCCAATATCATACTGAATGGGCAAAAACTGGAAGCATTCCCTTTGAAAACTGGCACAAGACAGGGATGCCCTCTCTCACCACTTCTATTCAACATAGTGTTGGAAGTTCTGGCCAGGGCAATCAGGCAGGAGAAAGAAATAAATGGTATTAAATTATGAAAAGAGGTTTAGTCTTGGGAGGGTGTATGTGTCCAGGAATTTATCCATTTCTTCTAGATTTTCTAGTTTATTTGCATAGAGGTGTTTATAGTATTCTCTTATGGTAGTTTGTATTTCTGTGGGATCGGTGGTTATATCCCCTTTGTCATTTTTTATTGCATCTATTTGATTCTTCTCTCTTTTCTTCTTTATTAGTCTTGCTAATAAATATTTGTTGGCAGACGACATGATTGTATATTTAGAAAACCCCATCATCTCAGCCCAAAATCTCCTTAAGCTGATAAGCAACTTCAGCAAAGTCTCAGGATGCAAAATCAATGTGCAAAAATCACAAGCATTCTTATATACCAATAACAGACAAACAGAGAATCAAATCATGAGTGAGCTCCCATTCACAATTGCTTCAAAGAGAATAAAATACCTAGGAATCCAACTTACAAGGGATGTGAAGGACCTCTTCAAGGAGAACTACAAACCACTGCTCAATGAAATAAAAGAGGACACAAACAAATGGACGAACATTCCATGCTCATGGATAGGAAGAATCAATATCGTGAAAATGGCCATACTGCCCAAGGTAATTTATAGATTCAATGCCATCCCCATCAAGCTACCAATGACTTTCTTCACAGAATTGGAAAAAACTACTTTAAAGTTCATATGGAACCAAAAAAGAGCCTGCATTGCCAAGTCAATCCTAAGCCAAAAGAACAAAGCTGGAGGCATCATGCTACCTGACTTCAAACTATACTACAAGGCTACAGTAACCAAAACAGCATGGTACTGGTACCAAACCAGAGATATAGACCAATGGAACAGAACAGAGCCCTCAGAAATAATACCACACATCTACAACCATCTGATCTTCGACAAACCTGACAAAAACAAGAGATGGGGAAAGGATTCCCTATTAAATAAATGGTGCTGGGAAAACTGGCTAGCCATATGTGGAAAGCTGAAACTGGATCACTTCCTTACACCTTATACAAAAATTAATTCAAGATATATTAAAGACTTAAATATTAGACCTAAAACCATAAAAACCCTAGAAGAAAACCTAGGCAATACCATTCAGGACATAGGCATGGGCAAGGACTTCATGACTAAAACACCAAAAGCAATGGCAACAAAAGCCAAAATTGACAAATGGGATCTAATTAAACTAAAGAGCTTCTGCACAGCAAAAGAAACTACCCTCAGAGTGAACAGGCAACCTACAGAGTGGGAGAAAATTTTTACAATCTACCAATCTGACAAAGGGCTAATATCCAGAATCTACAAATAACTTAAACAAACTTACAAGAAAAAATCAAACAACCCCATCAAAAATTGGGCAAAGGATATGAACAGACAGTTCTCAAAAGAAGATATTTATGCAGCTAACAGACACATGAAAAAATGCTTATCATCACTGGCCATCAGAGAAATGCAAATCAAAACCACAATGAGATACCATCTCACACCAGTTAGAATGGCGATCATTAAAAAGTCAGGAAACAACAGATGCTGGAGAGGATGTGGAGAAATAGGAACACTTTTGCACTGTCGGTGGGACTGTAAACTAGTTCAGTGATTGTGGAAGACAGTGTGGTGATTCCTCAAGGATCTAGAACTAGAAATACCATTTGATCCAGCCGTCCCATTATTGGGTATATACCCAAAGGATTATAAATCATGCTGCTATAAAGACAGAGGCACACGTATGTTTATTGCAGCACTATTCACAATAGCAAAGACTTGGAACCAGCCCAAATGTCCATCAATGATAGACTGGATTAAGAAAATGTGGCACATATACACCATGGAATACTATGCAGCCGTAAAAAAGGATGAGTTCATGTCCTTCGTGGGGACATGGATGGATTGGGAAACCATCATTCTCAGCAAACTATCGCAAGGACAGAAAACCAAACACCACATGTTCTCACTCATGGGTGGGAATTGAACAATGATCACACTTGGACACAGGGTGGAGAACATCACACACTGGGCCTGTCATGGGGTGGAGGGAGCCGGGAGGGATAGCATTAGAAGATATACCTAATGTAAATGATGAGTTAATGGGTGCAGCACACCAACATGGCACATGTATACATATGTAACAAACCTGCACGTTGTGCACATGTACCCTAGAACTTAAAGTATAATAAAAATAAAATTTTTAATAAAAAGAAATTGTTTTTAGGTGGCTAGAAAGGGTGAAAGTTCTTGGAAATTTCCTTTAATAAAAAGCAACCCCTAAAACATTTTTTTCTAACAAAAAGTGTCTTGAAAAGCCAGACCTGCAAGCATTGATATGCCAATGCCTGTGGCTAAAAACCAGGTCCACCCAATATGGCGTCTCCCACCCTCTTTTCCCTGTCACCACGTGTGCCAGGTGTCATAGCAGCCTTCAGATAAAGCCACGTGTACAAGCATCATGGCTGCCACCAGATGGAGATCTCATTTGCATAATAAAAGGCTAGGGTGGGAGGGCCAGTCTTTTCCTCAGCTACATAAATGGCACACCTGGTCAACCCAATACCTTGAGCCTTTGTAAATCAGTCACCGCCTCTTCAGCCCTCTGTACAAAACTGGGTTCCGCCACCAAAGAGACCCTCTTCAACCCGCTTTCTCAACATGAGGAAGCATTTTCTCTCTCTTTTATTTTTCTGTTAAACTTTCCGCTCCTGAACCCACTCCTCATGTGTGTCCGTGTCCTGAATTCTTTTTCAACTGAGACCAAGAGCCAGGGTATATATCCCAGACAATAGAGCCATTTCAACATTGCCAACATTGTGCACTAAAACATGTGGACTTAGGACCAAAGGGGAACTAGGAAGGGAAAGTGAAGTAGGTAGGAAGAACAATTTCATTTTTGTAGCTGTCTGTAAAGCAGAATCCTTTATCCATTCATTAAGAATGTTAATGCTCGTAAGAGTTATCAAAATTTAGAGGTTGACCTAAAGCCTAATTCCCCTGTTTTCTTTGTATTTTATGTATTCTGACTGCAGTGTAAGCCATGAGAGGGTTTTAAACAGAAGAGATGGGTGATTTTTACTTATATTTGAGGGAAGATGGGTGGAAAGGGAGCGGGGCTTAGGAGTAGGTGATTGAGAAGAGGTGAACCTAGAGGGGTGTGCAGGGCCAGATTGCACAGGGCTTTTTGGCTTTTTCTCTCTGGAATTTTATATGATCTCAATTTTATATTCTTAATATTCTGATTATGGTGATATGTGTTGGCATAGGTCTATTTTCATCCTTTGTGCAAAGTACTCAGTAGCCTCTTAGCCTGGAAATTTAGATCTTCAGTTTCGGGAAATTTTCTTGAAATTTTTTCTTCCTTCCATTTCCTCTTTATTATCTTTCCAGAATGTCCACTTTTCAGATGTTGAACTTCTTATATTGCTACTATAATGTTTTCCTATTTTGATTTGCTTGCTCTATTTTCTGAGATTGCGTCAACTTTATCTTGCTTATTTTTATTGCAATGTGTGTAATATTTTCTTTTTTAAATTTCACCTTATTTTAACTTTGCAGAAAAAGTCATTTCCTTTTTTTAAAAAGAGGTAAACACCAAGAAAACACATCCTTCTCTGCCAGAGTTGCAATAGCACTAGACTATCAGAACATGGAGATGAAGACAGTGTCTTATCCTCTTTATAAGGTTGAGTATAGTGCATATCGATGGGAAGCACATGAGTTTATAATGTTGAATAAATGAGCAATAGAGATTGGATGTATTGAAAGAGGGTCTTGGGTATTCTTCTCATGCTGGAGAAAACCTCAGGTGTGACCCAGTTGTAGCTAGGTAAGTTCTAGGATCTCTGACACTGAGAAAGGGAAGAAATGCATGAGTGTGTTGGGTCTTCTCTGGAGAGGGCTTTCTTGTGCATGCACAAGTCATTCATATGTTCAGAACATTGTACTCTAAAGCAGCAGCTCTTTCTCACCCAGATATTCCTCCATCCTGTTTATAGCACCATATTGGTGGCCAGAGCCTCTGCAAAAATAACCTTTTGATTTCAATCTCTCCTCTGTATTCCGCCTGCCATGATTCAGGCCTTTATTTTTACTTACCTCTTTTGGGAGCCTTCTTATTTTCTAATTAGTTTCTAAATGCCTCTATTCTCTCAATTCTAGTGTTTTTGTTTGTTTGTTTTTTGTTTTTGTTTTTGTTTTTTTTTCAGATGGAGTCTTGCTCTGTTGCCCAGGCTGGAGTGCAGTGGCACAATCTTGGCTCACTGCAGCCTCCGCCTCCTGGGCTCAAGCGATTCTTCAGCCTCCTGAGTGGCTGGGATTACAGGTGCACACCACCACGCCCGGCTAATTTTTGTATTTTTAGTAGAGATGGGGTTTCACCATGTTGGTCAGGATGGTTTCAAACTCCTGACATCATGATCTGCCTGCCTTGGACTCCCAAGTGCTGAGATTACAGGCGTGAACCTCTGCGCCCAGCCTATTTTTACTTATCTCCTTTGGAAGCCTTCTTATTTTCTAATTAGTCTCTAACTGCCTCTATTTTCTCAATTCTAGCATATTTTATATGAATCTTTGTGTTGCTATCCTTTTTTTAAATAAGAAAACTACCACTAGCTGCTCATTCTCTATTGAATTATTAAAAATGTATCAATTTAGCATTCAAGGACTCATTCTCATGCACCCCAAGATACCAACAAAACTGACTACAAGTGTCTCCTGAGTATTTCCTTCCACCTAATGCCTTTCTTCTTATTGTTCTCTCTTTCTGGATGGTCACCCCTCATTTCTGCCCAGGAAATTTCTGCTCATTCTTTAAGATGCATCCCAGGGGTCACTTCCTTCATGAACCTTTCAGATTCTCCCAACCAGGTGTCGTTTCATCCTCTACAGAGCCTTGGAATGATTGTGTAACACTCTTGGCGCTCATCACATTCCAGTTTGTATTGTAGTTATTTGTGTACAGGTTTTCTCTCAACCTCAAGGGCAAAGGCCAAATCTCATTCACTCTTGCCCCTTAGTAAAGCTCTGGATCTTGCACATTATGGTGTTCATCATTGACTTCATTTACTTAGGAAACCCAGGTTGTGTACTGCAGAAATGGATCACATGAAAATTTATATTCTTTCAACTAATATTTATCTGGTGTCTAGTTTCTTTGTTAACATTTTGTTACAGAATCAGATAATTAATGTCATGATTTATTAATCCATTGAATTTACAGTAAAGAAACTAATAAAAAATGTCTGCACAGGCTGCACCAGAATGTTGATTTATAGGGATAACAATCAGAAAGTTATTCTCTCTAGTACAAAAGTGGGGAAAAAAGATCAAACAATATAATTCTAATGTAAATAAATTTTGCATGAAGGAATATAGGAAGACATTTTAGTGTCAAAATAATGTCAAGTCAGTAATGAAGGTTATGGTACATGATATATAATTATAGTACTTTTATGTCTGCAAAAATGTGTAGTCTTTCTTTTTTTTTTTTTTTTTTTGAGATGGAGTCTTGCTCTGTCACACAGGCTGGAGTGCAGTGGCACAATCTCGGCTCACTGCAACCTCCACCTCCCGGGGTTCAAGTGATTCTCCTGCCTCAGCCTCCCTAGTAGCTGGGATTACAGGCGCCCGCCACCATGCCTGGCTAATTTTTGTACTTTTAGTAGAGACGGGGTTTCATCATGTTGGCCAGGCTGGTCTTGAACTCCTGACCTCAGGTGATCTGCTTCTTCGGCCTCCCAAAGTGTTGGGATTACAGGCATGACCCACCACACCTGGCCGTGAAGCCAGCTATTTCCAAGTGTCAATAAGTTCCACAGATTAGTCTGGGTTGCCTTTTTGTTTTTCTGAAGTTGAGTTTGCTGACCTTTCTCAGGGGAAAAACATACAGAATTTGTCTTTTTTTTATTATTATACTTTAAGTTCTAGGGTACATGTGCACAATGTGCAGGTTTGTTACATATGTATACATGTGCCATGTTATGGCAAGGACAGAAACCAGAATTTGTCTTAACTCCATTCTTTATTCCTTTTTGTTGTTCTGGCCTGTGGGCTTTGCCTACAGCACCTGCTTCTGCTTTCCGCATTTACTGATCCACTAAGTGTAAGTGTGACATATAGAGGTCTGTGTTGGTTGTTGTTTTGTGTTCAAACAGCTGAACATCTGGCCTCTCATGTGCAGGTGCACAGAACTCAGGAGAAGGGGTTTTAATTTAAGATAAAAAAAATAAGGATATGTGCTAGTTGCAGATGAGGGTTTGGGTGCTGGACTTAAGATGCTTCTGTGTTCAAAAACAAGGATATATGAGTCCCTTATATGTCAGGGACAATGTACAGTGCTGGTCATAATATTCATTTTCTGAAAATGTCTTCACTGACATAATGGCTTCTGATTTGTCATCCTGAACAAGTCTATTATATTTTATTTAGTTATTGTCCTCAATTTGCAAGGTTCATAAAGAGTTTCACACAGATGGCACCCAAAGTGCTTATTTCTCATTGTGCTGAAATTAAACTTGAATATGCTATATATCAAATAAATAATCCATTCCATGCCATTAAAAGAGTTTAGAATGAGAGATGAAATAAATTTTGCAAAAAGTGTGCCCACATGTTCATTTTCTCCAAATAGCATAGTCATTACATTTAAAAACAATCATTGGTCAAAATAGAAAGTATTAAGAAAATACTAAGTATCAATTGAGGTCTACCACATGTTCAGCAACAACTTAGGTGAGATGTGGGAGTAGGAAAAAGGAATACTTTATAACATCACAGAGAGGCAGATTTTGGCACAGGGAAGAGAAGTCAATGCAATACCTCAAGGAACCCAGTGGTGATCTAAGAAAACACTAGTTTGACCCATTGCCTCAATTAAGTATTTACCTTTCATAGCTAAGAAGAGAAGTAAATAGCCTTTCTTTATACTTTCTAGAAGTTGAGCTCAATGTTCTTTCGGAGAGAGCAGGCTCATCTCCATTATGTAGCGCCAATGACAAATACCTGTATATGTCTGTATTTCCTTGGTCTGTCTTGCTCACCTGTTAAGACACCTTGCTGCACAACAGATGGCACATGCTTATCTTGTGGCAGTGAAGAGTTGACATCAAAGGCCAAGAAAACCTTGAAACTCATCCTTTTCAGCCCACAAGAGCAGCTTCTCTCTACCACAGACGATGAAAGCTGGAGATAACAGGGGCATTCCCACCGCTGCACTCTCTCTTGTGGCCAGCTGACAGTTAACACAGGTGGGCGTGAGGTGCTGCCTACATTTTGAAGGTTGTCTATTGATGGGGAACACCACCTCTCTGAGCTCAGGCCTCTGCTTTGGCCCGTGGAGCTGCTGCTTCTGAGAAGTAACCAGGTGGTGAATACCTGCCTGCTTTTCAGAAAATCCGAGGTGGCTGTCAAAACACCCACTATCATTCAAAGGCTGTCAGGCAAGGTGGCCGTTTGAGGGGCCACTTTAGTTCTTGGTTTTTTTCAGAAGTCGAATTGGATTGCCAAACAGCTTGCTCAACTGCCTCTTCCCATAAGCTAGATGGGAGGAAGGCTGGGTCTGTGTAACTTGGGGTGCGCACAACTAAAGTGCATAAAAAGAGAAGGAAGTGTTAAACGAGTCTGCCATTCCCCAAGCAAACATCATTTCATTGAAATTACACTGTGCTATTTTATCTTGACCCACAACCAAATGGAACTTGTAATACATTATCACATACGAGATAGTTAGCTCATTAATAAAACCCCAGGCAGGAGATGTAAACAATGAAAACTCCCACACATTACCACTATAATGCACTACGATATTTTTCCTTCTTTTCATCAAAATTCTCCATGTAATTAAATCCCAAGTAAGTCAGCAAAAAAATCCTCATCTTTATTTATTGCACTTTTTTTGAAGTGAATTAGTTATTTTTCATACTGCTAAGTAGAAAATAAGCACAAACTCTGGGTCAGTGCTGAAAGTTTTCCTTATACACAATAAATATTTATTGAATGCTTTTGCTCTGCCACCGGCACTCAAGAATTATCAGTGAATGAGACTGAACACATATTAGTAATCAATGCTATAATGAACATCAATCTGATTGAAGTGAGAGCGAGCATTTGGGTGCTCAGAGAAAGCCTCACTAAGGAAGTTACCAGTAAACTGAGTCTAGGATGCAAGATGGCGCTGAGCCTGCCATGACCTGGGGAAAGAGAGCTACTGGTTGAGTCAATAGCTGGATTAAAGACCAAGTTCGGTGTTCAGAGGAACATGAGGAAGGCCTATGTGGCTGAAGTGCAGTGAGGAAAGGCAAAGTTTGCTAGAGATGAGATCAGACAGGTGAGGGCTCTGGAGACTGTGACGTTGCTGGCTATGATAGTGTATTGAATTCTAATCTCAGTGCCATGAGGAGCCATTAAGTTGTTTAAGCATTTACTGTGCTTTATACTTCAAGAGATCAACTCCACTTGATGGGTTGAGATGGAGTCAAGAGAATAAGCAGGGTGACCAGGTCACAGGTAGCCTTGCAGCAATCCAGGTGTGGGGTGATGGTGGCTTGGCTTGGATGTTATTGGTGGAGGTGCGGAGGAGTGGATGGATTGAGGACTTGTTCTGGTGGTAGAGTTGATCAACATATAGTATGAAATTATATGGAAAGAGTGAGTAAATGAGAGGAGTTGAGGCTGAATCCTAGGTTTTTGCTTCATAGGCTTCTCTTCCATCTCCAAGGGTTAAAGCCAGGGATAAAGAAAAAGGTGTTGATTAGGGGTTGAGATTTGTCCAGAACTTTAAAAAATAACACTTTATGATATTGTATGAGGTTTCATTCTCTATTATACCTCATGTTCTCTGAATTGGGTATAATACCTCTCTGACTTGGATAGCCAGGTGCTATCTTCCCTCTTTTCAAGTTAAAACCTGTGCATTATTTAATAATACAATCACTTTGCAATATCCCAGCCTCATTCTCAGTTATCTCAGCATCTAAAAGAGGTTTTAGGCCAGTCATATAAATATCATCTGTGCCTATAGCACCTAATGTAGACATAGAAATTGCCTAATAAATGCCTGAAATAAAATTGAATAGGGCTTTAGGGCAATAGTACTCAATGTGGTCTGCAGTCCTGGGTGGTTCTGTGAACTGTTTGTTATGAACCATTTGTTACTGCTCAAGGGGAAGATGAGTTTAGAAATGAAGAGACAACATTTAGAAACTTTTATAACAATTTGGAATTACTGTGACATCTAAGCAGCATTTATTTGTATTATATTTAATAAAATATCACTCTGAGATGGATTGGGAATTTAAAATAAGACAACACAAAACTGACCTTTCACCCCAGATAGTTTGAGAAGCACTGGTTGAGGGAATACACAATGTCATTGCCTTTCCAATTGAGAAAGATATATGTGATGGCATCCCATGACAGGTCAATGGCATTTAGGGGAAACAGAGCTAGTTCCTGCTTTCTTTCTTTTTTTTTTATTATTATACTTTAAGTTTTAGGGTACATGTGCACAATGTGCAGGTTAGTTACATATGTATACATGTGACATGCTGGTGCGCTGCACCCACTAACTCGTCATCTAGCATTAGGTATATCTCCCAATGCTATCCATCCCCCTCCCCCCACCCTACAACAGTCCCCAGAGTGTGATGTTCCCGTTTCTGTGTCCATGTGTTCTCATTGTTCAATTCCCACCTATGAGTGAGAATATGCGGTATTTGGTTTTTTGTTCTTGCGTTTTTTTCCAATCACAGGTGAGTCCTGGAGAGTCCAGGACTCTCCTGATGTAACATCTGTGAGTTTCTGAAAAGTGGAAAAAGGGAAGGAATTCCAGGAGTCCACATTGTGGGAAAGAATACAACTGAACTTGAATAGGCAATAAAAAACTTATGTGTGGAGAGGGCCAATCTTATCCTTGTTTCCTTCTAAGGAATGTTCTGTAAGCTGCTCCCAACAGGCAGTTTGAAATTGCTTTGCCCTTTCAGAAAGCCACAGAATTTGGCGTTAGAAGGCACTTTTGAGAATGTTTACTTCAATTCCCTCATCCTACAGATGAAGGGACTGATGTCCTAAGGATACCTTTTGAGAAGAACAATTCCCTTTGGGTCCAGAATCCCGGGATAGAGGGCACCTGCTGATCTTTTTCCCCATAAACCAAGCTGAGGTTGTGGGTCTGTTTTTCACACTGCTCATTTTTCAGGGTTGTGATTTTGATCATTTTCACAAACCTACATCCCTGTGGAGCTCATGAACCCATTTTAGTATCTTGTTTTGACATAAACTGAAGTCCTGTTCAGTTGTAAATTTGGGCTGGGAAAAATACAATCTCATGCTACAGCAGCCTTCCTCGGTTTGTACATCTGTCATTGGAAATATTTGCCAAGAAAACTTCATGCAGCGTTTTTCATGAGGAAACCAAGCAACAAGTGTGATTGGTCTATATCCCCTCTCCCTCCTCTTCCAGTAGGATTTTATGGGCATTTAATTGCTTTATTGAGGGTTTTCAGTTAGTGAATGAGAGGACAGGTTCTGGGGTCAGAAAAAGTAGGGTTTGAGTTCAGCATATTTTAGTTGGGTGATTGTATAGATAATGTATCTGCTATGGGCTTGCTTTACTCATCTTCAAAGTGGAGGTAATATTACTTACTTTGCAGTGTTGTGACAGTTAAAAGGAACGATCCGTGCATACACCTAGCATGCTGCCTGCCGTAAAATCAGTACTACTTGATAGTAGGTTGTTGTAAGCAGATGTATCTGTCAAGGGGAAGTGAATAATGAAAGCAGGGGACCAAGTGACCAGGTCGGCTGCCCAGTCAAGTCCGGTGTGAGGAGCATCTGTTGCTGAGATGTGGCAAGAGGCAACAGACTTTACTAGGTACCGAATGGGGTAAAGGGAGCCCCCAGGTGGGAGCTGCTAGTCTCTCTCAATGCCTTTATTTTCTGGATGGGCTGTTTCCCATGCAGGGAATTAGAAGTGGTGATAATACAACCTATCTGGGCAATCTGAGAGTGAGCCCAAGTCCTAAGCTGTGAGTCCCCATCCCAGCAGTTCATTTGTAAAAAGAAGGTAGAAGTCCCTGTGAAAGTTGGCCATAGCAGAGGACACTGTGCAAAGTAGAAATGTTAAAGGCAAGCAAATGAGGATAGAGATGTGGGTTGGAAATCAAGACAGGGGCCAGGTGGTTTACCAGCACAGAGGAAGTCAGGTCTCAGGGAGAGCAGATGTCTATAGCCAGGATTGGGATCTAGTGTGAGGCTCTCAGTTTCATACCCCTGTGCCACAGAAGGCAATGTTACAGCAAATGGAGCTGGGTTGATTGAGCACATCAAGCGTCACCGAGATGCGTGGTTTTAAGCACATTTCTCATCCCCTCCATGTCTCATTTTTCTAAGATGCAAATAGGGTTAATCCCTACCTTGCAGGTCTATAATAAGGACAAGAGAAAATGCATATTAAATGTCTATCGCAGTGTCAGGTATGTCCCAGATGGTAAAAAAGTTAGCAGCTATTCTTACTTATTAGTGCCTCTTCTGGTTCCTAAGGGATATAAAGTCCCTTGAGGTTGAAGAGTCCAGAAAGATGTATGTATGACAGTCCTTTCAAACTCCAGTAAATAGAATGGTTTACTCAGACTAGCGTTTCCAAACGCGAGTTTAGAATATTAAGGCCTTGAGATGCTGAAGAATAAAAGAGCTTTTATGGCCAAATATTTGAAATCTCTCCTTTTGGAATTTCAAGGTTGTACTCTAGAACAGTAAAGGCTCTGAGAAGTCCTGTAGTAAAGATGTTTTTGCTTAACCTGGTATGGAGCATTTCCAAACTCACTGTCTCTTTTCTTTTTTTCTTCATTCCTTCTTTCCTTTCTCCCTTCCTGTCTCCTAGAACACTCTTAAGATTTTGCTAGCTTTGAGTAAGGAACACTAAGGCCTACTTTGAATGTCTGAATAATCCATCCCCGAGTCTCAGCTAATGAAATCCCCACAGTTCTCCAACAGAAGTAAAAAGTATTGCCTGGAGAATATTCAGTCTTATTCTTTGTCAATACTTCTGAAAAACAGCTTTCTGTTCTGTGGGTTAGCTCGAAGCTGATTGGATTTTCTAGAATAACACTTCTCAAATCTTAATGTGCATGTAAGTCCTCTAGGGAACTTGTTAAAATACAGATTCTGGTCCTGCAGGTCTAGGGTGGGGCCTGAGATATTCTAACAAGCTCCCTGGTGATGTTTGTTAGAGAAGCAGACTCTCAGGTCTTACCCTGGATCTACTGAGTCAAAATATGCACCTTAACGCGACCCCCCCCCCCCGGTGATTTTTATGCACATAAAAGCTTGAGAAGCACTGGTCAGATCAGGGTTCCTCAGTCTCAGCTCTATTGACACTTTGGGCCTGATAATTCTTTGTAGTGGGAGCCATCCTCTGGCTTTTGCTCCACATGTCAGCAGCAACCTTCTTCCAATTGTGGCAACCAAAAATTTCTCCAGGAATTGACAAGTGTGTCTCGGGGAGCAAAACTGCCCCAGTTGAGAACCACCAGTCTAGAGCCATCGAACTGTCTCCTCTTTCTGTTCCTGAGCCATTCAGAGAGATTTTAAATGAGATAATCAAGTGACTATTGCCTATCCATGGTTCTCAGAGCTGCTGCGTATCACAGTCATCCAGGGAGATTTGCAGATTCTGGCTCACTAGATTTGAGGAAAATCTTAGAAACTTGTATTAAAAAAAAAAAAAGAGTAACATTTAATTTGTGTCAGGTACTGTTCTAGAACCTTTACACACATTAACTCATTTAATTATCATAAAACTCCCTAAGTAGGTATCAGTATTATTTCCATTTTGCAGGTTAGGAAATTGAGCCACAGAGTAACTTCTTAAGCTTGCAGAGCCAGTACTAGAACCTGGCTTGGGAGGGGAGGTGTCTGTCTTTTTTTTTTTTTGGCTGCAATTAGCTTTCTCAAAAGATGATTGTAGCAGTAAAAAAGGTTGAAGGTTGTCTGTTTGGAGTCAGTCAGCACTTGGGAACAGTGTCACAGTTCTGGTGGCCCTGATGGTGGCTTGTATGAGGACTATACAGCCTGACTCTCTCACCCTCTTGATAGTTATCTATTTCAGCACTTGGAAAGACTGGGCTACTGCCATTTTCAGAGTAGTGTCCTTATGCCAAGATTATTGCATTGTTTATTTCATATGGACATAGTAATATTGTTCACCATTCAGGACATTTTGACCCATTTCCCCCAGAAATTTGACAGAATTAATGGACTTTTCTTGATCCATTATTATCCCCCACTCCCCGAAATGTTTGGTTTACATCAGATAAAAGCTTATATCTTGAGTTTCCAAATTAAATCAGGGAAATGGAAATGATATACACTTCCTAGTGACACTTTATGAATGAAGAAATAGTCACTTTAAAAAATCCAGGGTTTATGTAATCAACACTAGTGTTACTGACATCTTTAGTCTATCATGAATGATTATCATTTATTTTCACCACACTTGATACAGAATGATGGTGTTAAAGCTATAATTAATTACACTGGTGAGAGCTGAATTGTGAGCCACATGAGAACAAGATAAAACTTTTAAAAGGCCTTAATGCAAGGTTCTTCACTTAGGTCCAAACATCCAGGCACACAAGTTACTAGGAATATTTCCTGGAATTACTTCTAGGATTAAAGCTGTTAAAAAATAATAAGAGCTAGAATGAATAAATATTTACTCTATTTCAGACATTGTTATAAGTTCTTTAAGTATATATTAACTCATTTAGTCTCTTTAACAGCGCTTTAGGGTAGGTGTTATTATTACTGGCATCTTACAAATGAGAACATTAAGGAACAGAAAGGTTGTCTACCTTGCTCAAAGTCACACAGCTGGCAAATGGCTGAGCTGGTATTCCAACCCAGGTGCTCTGCTTCTCGAAACTGGGCTCTGCATCACTCTTACTGGCTTTTGATTGGGATTATATCAATTCTCTGTGGTGATGCTGGTGGCCCTGTGCTGAATTGGGCACTTCCTATGTCCTACATTAATTTTTAAAATGAGGATCAAAGGAGTGTTTGTTATAATTTCATTTGTTTTACTGGCAAAATCTTCCAAAACATAGATTCCATGGAAGTGTGGGGAAGCATATGATAAAAGGGACCCTTAACCGTTGAAGATAGTGGGCCAACATGGGTGATGACTATTCATGGTACCGTAATGTTACTCCCCTGCAATATTTCCATGTCAGAGAAGAATTCCCTGGAGTTACTCAGGAGGAAGTTTAAGGGGTCACAGAAATGCTGGAGTAGAGATCTGGGACCAGGGAAACCTATTAAGGGTTCCCATTTGTCATGGAGGCTGCCATGTCTATTGTCTAAATAAGGCACTTCTTTGGCTTTCAGCAGAGGTTACCAGTACTCTTTATGGTGATGAATATTGCAAGTGAACACTTTTTTCAAGAGAACGGAGATGAACAAACAAGACTAGAAGTTCTTTCTCTCCACTGCTCTCCCATTCTAAGAACTACTAATGATCTTGTCCCTATCTGGACTATTAAAATACGTAGCTCTGAGCTTTTACTGAAAGAAAGAACATGTTTCCATCATTCTTTTTGCCCTCTTCTGAGTATTCTGAAGGAGCTCTGGTCAAGGGTTCCAGGAGCTCTGAATGTAGCTACTGGCAGCCCCATAATAAATTTACTACCTGAGTGTCCCACAGTTCCCCATAGCCTGGGAGCTATTTCAGTGGAAATTGTGATTTTCACTGAAGAAGTATTGCAGAACTCTGCTGAGTTGAGATATTTTGGAAAATCCATTCTTTTAGAATTCTCATTTAAAACCTAAAAAAAAAGATATGAAAATCAATTAACTTCACACATGAAAAAATTCCTCATATGTTTAATCTTCCTTTATATAATTTCTTGATTATGTTTAGAAGTAAATTGCCTTGATTATACCTTGGATGGAAAGGAATGTCTTTTAATTAATTCGAAACATGCTGTAGAGATGCTGATTTGTAACATAGAATGATAAATTGGGTTGAAAGCAATAAGTCTCTCTGATAGGAATGAGCTAGAGTTGGAGTTTTATGTTATTTTTGGCTGACTGGTGGACTCAGAGCTCTGCTTTCTTAAAGGGACAAACCAAAGAATTTGTGCCTTATGTGAAGGTCAGGCTGGATTTTATTGGCTTTTGGTTGCCTGATAATTTGTGAAATTATTTTGCCAACCTCACCTGTTTTTTTGTTGTTGTTGTTTTGTTTTTTGTTTTTAATAGACATGGTTTGACTAGGCTGGAGTGTAGTGATGTGATCATAGCTCAGTGCAGCCTCAAACTCCTGGGTTTAAGTGATCCTCTCACATCAGTGTTTTGAGTAACTGGGACTAAAAACGCACATCACCATGCCTGGCTAAATTTTGTTTACTTTTTGTAGAGATGGGGTATCACTATGTTTCCCAGCAGGCTGGTCTCAAACTCCTGACCTCAAGAGATCCTTCCACAGTCCTGTGGTTACAGGCATGAGCCACCACTCCTAGCCCTCTTCTTCCTTTTTTTTTTTTAAAGACAAATTACCAAAGTCATAAACTGAGACACTGGCATATACAAAGCTAAGAACTCTAATATATATTTGAATGACAGAGCTGGATAAAACAATTCTAGAACAATATCTAGTGGCTGTGAGGATATTATCTCATCTAATTTTTTAACTCACTTTTCAGCTGAGGAAACTTTGCAGCAAGATTAAAGAACCTGAACAAAGTCACAAGGTTAGTTAGTGGTTTTGCCTGGTTTCAAAGTCAGATCTATTTGATTCCAAACCTATGCTCTTAACTGTTCTGCTATGCTGCCTCTTCTGTGGCTCTTAGGAATTTGGGGACTTCTTGTGTGATTAGTGGCAAAATCCAAGTTAGTAAAGATGCTTAGTCTAACATTTTTGGTGCAAAAGTAATTGTAGTTTTTGCTATTAAAAGTAATGCCAAAACCCACAATAACTTTTGCACCAACCTAATAGGTGGCTCGTGAGTTTTAATGTAGGGATTTAGGTACCAGAGAGCCTACTGTGTCTTTTATTCTTTAGTTATCTTACACGACCCTATTTAAATTTAGGGTTGATAAAAGATTTAATGCAATAAAAAGCATTATTAGTCTTTGTTATGAGGCCACTGTTTATTTCCAAGTGTAGGGTAAATGCATCTGATAGCAATAATATAAGCATACCCTTAAAATGACCTGGTATGGCAGACACACCTGAATGTGTGTTCTGAGACAGGGAATCTGGGAGCGGCTGACCTGAAGTTTTCATTCCTTGTCTATGAGGAACATCTGAGCCCCTGGCCCATCCCATGGAACATGGGCCATACAGGGGATGGGGCCCTGAGTTTTGGGTTAAACGAACCCACCCAGTTAGAGGCCATTAAGGGGAGGGTGTTAAGTGAAAATGCTATATAAACTGCATGCTGTTTGTAAGTCGTTGCAGTGTTCCTGCCCAGCTTGCCGCCACTGGGCTGTATGCAGGGTGGTTCTTTGGGCCAGCCGGTGCCACTGGCCCATGCAGTTATCCTGTCCAGTCCAGCCACCACCAGACTCTCTCCCTTGTATGTAAGACCCTGATAAAACCCTGTGTCTCTTGGGCTGGGCGCGGTGGCTCACGCCTGTAATCCCAGCACTTTGGGAGGCCGAGGCGGGCGGATCACGAGGTCAGGATATCGAGACCATCCTGGCTAACACGGAGAAACCCCATCTCTACTAAAAATACAAAAAATTAGCCGGGCATGGTGGCACGCGCCTGTAGTCCCAGCTACTCAGGAGGCTGCGGCAGGAGAATGGTGTGAACCCGGGAGGTGAAGCTTGCAGTGAGCCGAGATCGCGCCACTGCACTCCAGCCTGGGGCCTGGGTGACAGAGAGAGACTCCGTTTCAAAAAAACAAACAAACAAACAAACAAACAAAAAACAAACCCTACGTCTCATTTGCTGGCTCCAGGTCACTTCTTTGGCCTCTTGAAACTAGTACCATCCCCATTGTAGTTGATAGGGGTTTGCCATGACACCAAGAAATTCTTCAAGTGTAAGTAAATGTATGGAAACTGTTTGTTTATTTCTAGGGTTTAAAGTATGTTGTGCCATTAAAACAATGAAAAACACTTTCAATGAGGAAATCTCTGAATATTTTGCGACAGAATTTTTTAAAATAGATCATCGGGGTGAGGTAGGGTGGTAGATTTATACTAATGTCAAAGAGACCCCTTTCTTTACTATTTGTATCCTGACTTCTTGAAAATCACTGAACTTGTTGGTTTCTCCCTTTCTTAACAGAAGGGTCATGGTTTCAAGAGAAGTCTCTCTTCATCAGAGAAAGTTTTATGAAAGTCAGGAGGGCCTGGAGAACTGTGCTTAAGCCAGATGTTTACTGTACTTTGAGATACATTGAGAAGATGTTAAACAGCTTCCAAAAGCCTGTAATTGATTAATATGAGTTATGTAATCCTCATTTCTCAGATGGAGAAATCAGGCCTATAATAGTTAATGTTAGAGGTTATCCAGGATATTGTAGAATTATTCTATTCTTCCTGATATTTAATTTCTATTTGGTTTTATTTTAACCTAAGGCAACTAAACATTCAGATACATTTAATTATTTTAATTCTATGGCATAATGTAAAATATCTTAAAATCACATATGTAATAAGCATGCAATATGTAAAATCTGGAACACACTTGCAAAGCACAAAGGAAGAAAAACCTCTTGCCAATCGAGTAAACTTCTCTAACAAACATAGGAGAAAAAAGTGTTATTATTGAATAAGCATTGAACCAGAATGGGATACACATCCCAGGCAATCCATTAAGTGATTTTGGCAAAGACAGAAAGAAGTCTCATGCTTTTACAAAGCCAGGCAGATGCAACCCATTACATACATGTTTTCAAGATAAACAAAACTGATCCTCAAGAGGACTTGCCGGCACCATTTGTTATAGGCAGTTCGTTCTAAAATCACCTGGAATTTCGGGGTGATCATCCGCATTTGATAATAGCCTTTATCCAAGGGAAAAACGAAATTCCCACCTCTTTATGATAGGAGGGAGACTTGCAATTTGGATCCAGGCATCAATTGAAGTTAGGTTCCTACCCTGCCCAGGAAACTGAGAGATAGGAGCCTTAACTTCCTTAATGATTATATTTCAAAGAGATGGTTCCCAGGTTCTTGTGGAAACATTCCTGGGTTGTAAAATTGGTAAGAGCCTTCTTTAGCTTTTAAAAATATTTATATACATTTCAAAGTAGCAGAGTAAGAGCTTACACTTACTAGTTTTCTAAGGTAAATGCCCAAAGAAGAGGGCAAGGGGGAAGGTCTCTTTCCTTTTTCTTTGCAACAAAAAGAATTGGCTTTTTTTTTTTTTTTTTTTTTTTTTTTTTGTCTGATTTGTATTTGCCCTTCCATGCATAGTGTCAGCATCTCCGTGATCCCAGCAGGGCCCAGAGCCTGCCACGGGCCTCAAAGAGGAGAGCTGCAGAGATTGAGCAGATATTCTAGGCACAGGGAATGAGGTAAATTATTTGTAGTACTTTGTAACTTTTCTGTTGAAGAAGTCTGTCCTGAGAAAAGAGTTTTTCTCCCTTAAATTTGACCCTTTCTTAGAAGACAGCCCTAAGAAACTGAGTCCTATGGCTAATGAGACTAACAGCATTTGTGATGCACACAGCCTTGCTCTGGAAGTCTGTCTAAAGCAAAGCCAGTGGAATTTGATGTCTTAGCCCTAATTGTTCCTGTGGGGGACCATTCCTGACCTGTTGAGGGCCATGAGCTCATCTCTGCTCATTGTGATGCCCCGACAAGGACAAGTCTGCAGGACACCCAGGAGGACCCGATGCTGTGGTTAAAGCCTCGTAAAGGGAGAGCCTGGAATAGAAAAGCAAGTAGGAGGGGCTCCCAGTGAAAAGTCTGGAGATGGGGAAAATCACGGTTGGGTTTGAAGGGATCATAATCCAGATGACTGGGGAGGCTCAGGAACAGAAGGAGCTCGATAGAGCTGAGGCCGGCAATACCTGGAGGGCCTTTTGAAAGAAAAATATCAACTTGGTACAGACTTGCACTCCATGGACAAATCCGTCTCTGATCTTTTCAAGAAATTTGAGAAACAGAAGGTGACTAAAGGCCGTGGAGAGCTTGAAGAATCACTGAGGCTGTGTGTTGAGGATTACAGAGCGAGAATCAGAAAGGCAGGCTGGAGATGCTGTTGGAAACCAGACTATGCCGCCCCCAGATACACTTCTTTGGCATATTTTGAGCCGGTTATTCAGAAAAACTGCAGACACAGAAATAGCACTGAAAAGCTATCATCTTATAGAGGAAATTTGCATCTATCCACATTGGTAAAGCAAACAGGGGATGCTGGCAGAGGTTTTCTCTGAGGTCCCCTATTCTAGGTCTAGGAAAGATGATCTCACAGGCAAAGGAGACTGAAGGTCAGTCACTTTTGAAGGTCTGGCAGAGGAACTTAATCACAAGCTCCCATCTCTTCTTTCTGAGGGCTGCTCCCTGAGATAATTCAGCATAATAAGACAGGTTGTGCTTATCCATGGCTTCCTCCCCTTATCCCCCCAGAATCTGTCACCACCTTCCCCCAGGAGCCCTAGCCTCTAGTTTTTTGTACAGTTATAAAAATTTCAGTCGTCAGTCCTTCTTCGGGTCTTCTATTTCATGTGGCTTCCATGTGCATGCACACATAATAAATTTGCATACCTTTTCTCCTGTTAATCTACTATCATTTTGTTTTATAGCCTCGAATGATCCAACCTTCAAGGAGAAAGAGAATTATCTTTGTCTCTATGCTATTAAGTACTGAAGGTTTGTACAAGAGAGAAATACGATTTAGCATGTGAGTTAATCGTGCAGGTCTAGAGGGAAGGCCCACATGGAGGCCATGGCTTTTCAGGCCAGTCTGATGGAGCAGATGTAGATCCATTCACTGAGGAAGGCCGTGGAGCAGGAGACTAAAGAAAACAATGAGAATCTGTGATCTGATTTCAGAGGCGGAAAAACGTGTCAGTGACAGGTGACTTTCTCTCTTTCCTCCTGTCTGTCCATCTGTCTGCCTGACCCTGTCCACAAGCAGTTCTCCTGGACTCTCTTCTTGTGTTTTCCTTTTGGCAGAAATCTGAGTGATTCTCAAATGAGATACCTACAGAAAACTAAGTATAGGAAATTTTGACTTCTGGATGTTACACTTCGTGCTCTATTTGGCTTATTAAATGTTGATGCTAATCTTTTTTTAAAAGCAAAGAAAAACACACAATCCAGAATAACATTGGAAACATTTAGTTCTGCATCCTCTAAGTCTCTATGTAAGTGGACTCTTTCTTTTTTTAAATTATTTTTTAATTTTTTTATTTTACTTTAAGTTCTGGGATACATGTGTAGAACATGCAGGTTTGTTACATGTGTATACATGTGCCATGGTGGTTTGCTGCACCCATCAACCCACCTAGGTTTTAAGCATCGCATGCATTAGGTATTTGTCCTAATGCTCTCCCTCCCCTTGCCCCCCACCCCCCGACAGGCCCCGGTGTGTGATGTTCCCCTCCGTGTGTCCATGTGTTCTCATTGTTCAACTCCCACTTATGAGTGAGAACATGCGGTGTTTGGTTTTCTGCTCCTGTTTTAGTTTGCTGAGAATGATGGCTTCCAGCTTCATCCATGCCCCTGCAAAGGACATGAACTCATTCTTTTTTATGGCTACAAAGACTTGGAACCAACCCAATGCCCATCAGTGATAGACTGGATAAAGAAAATGTGGCACACATACAAAATGGACTTTCTTTTCTTTTCTTTTTTTTTTTTTTTGAGATGGAGTCTCGCTCTTTCACCCAGTCCGGACTGCAGTGGTGCTATCTGGGTTCACTGCAAGCTGCACCTCCTGGGTTCATGCCATTCTCCTGCCTCAGCCTCCCGAGTAGCTGGGACTACAGGCACCTGCCACCGCGCCCAGCTAATTTTTTTGTATTTTTAGTAGAGACGAGGTTTCACCGTGTTAGCCAGGATGGTCTCGATCTCCTGACCTCGTGATCTGCCCACTTCGGCCTCAAAATAGACTTTCTTAAATTACATCTACCACTCTCTTAAAGGGTCTTAATGAAACCAGTGCAGACATGTTTGATTTGATATAAGATTTTTTGGTAGCATGTACTTCACATATAGAAGCCTGCACAGAACAAGACATTTTGCATAATAATATTTAATTAGTGGATGTTTGCTTCGAAAAGCCTTATGTGACCCGTGAAGCAATCAAAATAATTATGGGCACAAATTGCATATGCAAAATTGAGACCCTGTAGGTGTCCTCATCCACTCTGCTTATACCTCAGGGAATTGTTGGATCCTGGAAAAAGGGCTGTCTGCAGCCATGGGCGTGCAGTGGTGGCTTGCTTTCTCTTTGCTTCAGTGCTTTCCCTTTAAGCAGCAGGGAGATTAAAAAATAAAAATAAAGAACTTCACAATAGCAGAGGAGGAAGAGGAATGAGAAGTCTGCAGAGTGCCTTTTGAACTACCAGCTCTAGCATTTATTGCCTTCGCCGCTCATTTGTGCAAGTCTGATCTTGCCCTTTATTATCCAAGAGTAGAGTCCTTCTTCCTGTTAGATTGAGGTTCCTCGAAGCCACAAACCATGTCGTATCCTCTGTGCTGCCTGTAGTACTCTAATGGTGAAGATGTAGTGGATACTCAGTAAGGATCTGGAGAATTGAACTGACGAGCCGTGATAGAGTACAATAGGATGGTATTTTTGAGATTTCTTTTTCTTTTGCACTTACCTACACATAATCTCTGTAGTTTACTGGAGCATCCTCCTACCTCTTAGAATGGTTACAAGAGGGATACAAAAAGTTAGTATTCCAATTTTGATATTTAAAGTAGTATTTTTTGGTTCTGCAGTAAAACAAAATTTTAGATGCTTTAAACTCCTTTTACTCCTTCCCCTGGCTTTTTGTTTGTTTGTTTTTACCAGATCAAGAAGTAGGCCGCAGGTGATTAAAGCGTTAAGATTTTCCAAGTGTAGAGGCTACTCCCCTTGCCTGACAGCAGGCAGGGCACAGGATTTAATGCCCCAAAGGAGAACAATTGTCAGAAGAAGCAAAAACTCAAGTCTACCTATTCTTACATGGCATTGTCAAAAGAGGGGGCGCAGGGAATGAGGAAGGGGTGAACACACAGGTTTTGATTTTTTTTTTCCTGGGCCTGAACCCAGAAGATGGGAAGTGCATGCATGTGTGTGTGTGTACCACCAGCGTGCTTGTTATTCTAGGAGTGGATTTGTTTCACAGGTTGCCCCTGTAGCATTCTGTGGGCAGCTTCATTAAAGGACGCTTGTCAGCATAGCCTGGTTAGGCTGAGGAGAACCTGGGTTTGGCTTTCCTGAATCTCTCTTAACTTTCAAATGACTGAATGTTCCTCATGCCCTAGGGCTAGCTGCTGAATTCTGTAGACCCTGACTGGGGAATATGGCAGGAAGGGGTTGCTTTCATGGACAAAGGAGCCACATTGCTGAGGACAGCAGGGCAGGGCTTCCTGGCCAGGCCTTGGGTGTGTCCACCCTGCAAGCAAGAGCTGAGTCTGGCATCCTGAGGTATAACAGCCATAGACTTTACAGAGAGGCCCCAGCAGAATGCCCAGGGCACAAGGTCATGCCTCAGTAGTCTCCAGGGGCCAGCCCAGCCTAGGCCCTCTGCAGCAGATACCAACCTACCTCTCTAGGACTCCAGCCGGCTCCCTCCCTTCTGCCTCCTCAAGGTTGCATGAGCCACATCCTTTCTCCCATATCCAAGATGCATCGTAGGAGGAGCAAGGGAAGGGAGCTCAGTCTCTAAAACCCTGAGCATTTACCCAGGTCATTCAAGCAGAGATGTGATGATGCCCAGGAAGTCTAAATTACTAGGTCAGACAAATATCTATTTCTGTTGCCATCAACTGGGTGAAAGCCTGTGAAGAAGACCAGATCAATTACAGAAGAATAAAAAGGCTATTTATTTTTGTACTTCGGAGTGCAGTATAAGTGAATATTGATCCTGCTACAGTGTGTGGGTTTTTTCATGTTTCTTAAAATTCTTTTAGAAATGAACATTTCCTAGCCTTCTCTGTAAACTCCAAAGTTAGACTCCAGTTTATAAAGGCATCAGCAGGAAGCAGTGCCTCCCAAGGTGGAGGAAATATGGAAAAAAAGATCTTTCCTGGCCGATTCAGAAGAGCTGAGAGTGAGCATGAGAGAATTAGCATGAGTTTGACCAGAGCTGCTAGCAAGCAGATTCAAGCAAACAGATATACATATTCTTTTAAATCTCCTACTGTGCCTTCAAATGGTCATCCCAAATGTTTCATTTTACATTAAGTGCCAGCTTGCCTCTAGGGATGAGGATAAAAGACATTTTGAATTTAACTTCTTAATTAGGAAACACCAAAGCTGTCATTCATACTAGGAGAAAGAAGGAGACTTCATCTCCCACTGCAGATAATGAGACTTTCCAGATATTAATTGTATGTGTGTTTAGCTTTGAAATGTAGTATTTAAAGTTTCGAGAATTAGAAATAGCATAGATATAGAGGACCTGGCCAGGCCCTGTCATGCAGTAGGGTCATTAATAAATGGGGATAACCCTTAAAAAATAGAGTAATCAGATTTTTTGGGGGGGGGATAATAAATTCACTCTTCAGTCTTTAAGTACCACACACCAGCTCTAAGGTGAAGTTGTGAAGAAGTTACTAAGTGACTTATCAGAAGCATCCTGGTTGAAATGAGAGGGAAAGTTGCTACCATTTATTCTGTGCCAGGAACTTGAACATCTTTTCATGCAATACCACATTTAATCCTCTTGCTATTCTCATAAAGTAGAGAAATATGTATTGATTCTGGTTATAAGAAAACTGAGGCTCCAAGAGTTAAACTGACCTGTCCACATTACCAGCTGATGAGTGTGAGGGTTGGAATACAAACCTAGATCTGAGACCCATGCTCTTTGTGTAATACCACCCTGCTGCCTCATGGGAAAGGTGAGAAGATCTCACAAAGGGATTCCACAATTGTACTTTGTACTTCTCCTCCTTGGTAAAAACTGATATCCATGATAGATTTTTAAAAATGAAATATGTCCTCCCTCTTAGATGGCCAGCAACATGTTTGCTGGGGCCAGGTCTGTTTTATTACTTATCCAAAACACATGGCCCAATGCTTGGTACATTGTACGTGGTCAAGTTTTTCACTGACTGATTATAAGTGAGCATATGCTATTGGAATCTAGAAAGTAAACTAATGCAAATTTGGGGGAGATTGTTTTTTGCAGATACATAAGTTTACTGATATGTCTTTGATTCATTTCGAAAATTCTTTCCCTAAAGGTATCGATGGATTGTCAGACTCCTTGATATTTACACTAATCATAACTCCTACATGATTAATAAACAAGTAAAAAATGTTGAAGATCAGGCAGGTGAACTGCTGGAGTGATCACTGTTAGAGTTTCTGAGTTTCTGTTCTTTTCCAGGATAAGATTTGGTTCCTAATGGTTGGGCGTGGGCTCTGAAACTTGGAGAATCAGAAAGGGAATAGAACCTGTGATTTAGATTGCTGAGCCACACTTAAATGGCTGTCAGCTGAGATTCAGGAATGGCAGAGGCTGATTCAGCTGGAGTCATACAGCAGCTACTATTAATAACAAGACGAGCAGAGTGGGGAGAGAACTCAATGAATCGAACAAGAGGGGACAATGGGAGCTCAGGAGGGTAAACCCGATTACCCAGTTACTACTGTGTCTTGTGTCCATCTGGAAATAGGCCTTGTCTCTTCCCTACCAGCTGAATTCTCAGCTGAAAATGCAAAGGTCAAACACTTAGAGAAGCCTGTTTTAATGGGGGTGGATATTATTTCTGCCTCAGCCATTTTCAGCTGGAAACCACAAGATGGCAATGTTGCATCATTCCTTGCAAGACCTTTACCCATGGCTGTCCTGACTCCAGGTGAATTCAATCGCTAAGCAATAAATTGGGAGATGCAGGATCTTGTTGGTTTAACCAGCTAACATTATACTTGTATTTGGTACTACTGATTGTGTTTTCCTTGATAAAATGTAGCATACTCCAGGAAAAGTAATACATTTTCACCCCTTGTTAGAACACTCATGTAATTCAAGCAAATAACACAAACACAGTCTGAATTTCAGTCTTCTAGACCCGGTTTTCCCCAACATCAGACTAATTAGTTTTATTCCATCTAGCCAACACCTGCTTGAGAAGAACATTTAGTGTCATAAAACAAACCACCCACCAAGAAATAAGGAAACTGAGAAAAGCCCACACACCAACGTCATGTTGCCAAGCTCAGCTCTAAAACAAAGCCTTACAACACACCCTGGTGGATTCTCTTGGAGGAAACTCCATTTTCTAATGTAAGTTTCTGCATGAAAAAACTCTGTTCAGAGTCGTGAAATGCTCTTATGCAAATGATATTGTTGGAATCTTTTTCGTTTCTTTAGAAGTCAATTTCTGAGGACATGTTCAGGTTTAATTCTTTCAGCAGACCCTTGAGTCCTCTGTTTTTTAATTGTGTTTGAGAAAGAGACTAAAATGAAATTTTGGTGGTGTGATCAAACACCAAGGGATTTGGTGCCTTCCCGAGTATTACGGGCATAGATCAAATACTGAGTACCTTTCGATGGTTATTAAGGTGAGGTTACAAGTGTTATAATTGTTTGCCCTAGAAAAGGTTCAGGTGTGAATGAGTTGCTTTCATGGAGGAGATTAAGGGAAAGGATGCTGCTAGATCAGTGGTTCTCAAATTTTAGCAGGCATCAGGATCACTTGGATGACATATCAAACTACAGATTACTGGACTTCACCTCTAGAGTTTCTGATTCTATAGGTCTAGGGTAGGGCCCGGGGATTTGTGTTTCTGACAAGTTCACAGGTAATGGGGATGCAGCTGGTCTAGAAGTCATGCTTTTAGAACCCTGATGCTGGACCTGTTTTCTCTAAAGGACAGGTAACTGGGTGATTTTCATTTAGGTGCTTTGCAGAGAATGTTGAGAAATACTGACTCAATAGAATGAATGCTTGCTTTAGGATCTAGAGATGTGAATTCAAATATAGGCCCTATAACTTAGTTGCTAGATATGTGAGGCCAATGACTTAACTTCCCATAATCTCCATCTGTTGTCTAGAAAATAGGATTGTACTCAGATATCAGGATTTGAGTCCTGGCTTTGCTAATTACTATATGACTTTGTTCAAATTACTTAGCCACTCTGAGTCTGATTCCTTATGGGTAAGAATAGTACTTCTGAGTTGTTTTAGAAGTGAAATATTTGATATAAGGGCACCACACAAAGGATTTGTTGCTTCTTTCCTTTTCTTTGCTAGATTGATATATGCATGCATCTGAAATCACTTCATAAAATACAGAACACCATAGAAATGTTGGTTAATGTTTCACAGAGAAATTGCTTTACGAAAAAACCTTCCTAGATCCTTTAGATTGTCTGTTTTCCTTAACCAGCTTAGCCTGTTTGCATAAATTGGCTATTTTTAGCCAATTGTGAGTTTCTTCTTATAATTGTTTGAAATCACTGGACAAACCTGAAGTTTGCCTAATATATTCCAGGCTGCAGGAGGAAGCACTGATAACGCCTGGAATTTTTTCCAGATTGGGTTGGTCAATTTTGCTTTCCCACTTTTAAAGACAAAAATAAAGAGCCAAGAGTTGAATGGCAAAATGCAGTTTGGCTTAGAGAATGGGGGTCAGCTGTGTGATGAGATCCTTCTGGATCCCTTTTCATGTCCCAGGGGAAGCTGGTACCCAAGCAGAATTGACCAGCTGGCTTTCACATTATGGGAAGTGTCTACTTGATGTCAGTATGATTTGTTATATAGTGAAAAAGTGATTGGTCATATAACTTGGTTTGGAGATGTTAAAGGCCTAATTCTCTTTCTGCCATTGAAAGGTATTTGATATTTCACCTAAACCCATTGTTCTTGGGAAGGCATTAAACCCGAGTTGTGCAACCTTGGGTTAGTCATTTCGCTTTACTGAGCCTCAGTTTCCCTATTACAACATGAGGGATTTGCATAAGATCAGACTTCTTATATAGCAGTCTGTAGATGGGATCCATGGACCGTTCAAAATGCCAAATCTTTTGATTGTGCAGTTTTATGTCGAGTGGATCTATAGCTTTCATCAGATTCTGAAAGGGGTCTGTTGCACTAAAAATATTTAACCTCAGGTGTTATTAAAGATCGTAGTCAAGTCTAAGCTTGCATCTCTGCCAGTGATGCTAAATAATTTCAACTGAGTTTTCACTGACCAGGTAAAATAGATCCTGTAGCTCATTTGGTATCTTATAGATACTGCTTTTTAAGTAATACCATTAAAGGAAATCAAATTTTAAACAGTGGTGAAAAGTTTGGGGAAAGATCAATGTCCAAGGAAAGGATAAAGCCATAGAACAGCTTACACGTATCACACAGCAGCAGTTTTGTGAATGTACCACTGTTCATGTGGTACAGATATTGGGCCTTATCAGCATACTCACAATTGATCAGGTTTAAGGTGATGGATACTCACTAAAGCAGTCCACATGAGACTGATGAATAAACTGGAATGCCAATGTGATTATTTACAGTGAGGGATGACTTCTCTCTGTGCCTGGATGGCTCCTTTTGCAGGACTTGAGCTACATTATTAATCAGTAGATTGTTAAGGATTTAGAGCAAAAGGATGCAAATAGTTTTGAAAAATGTTCCTTTTGGGTCAGGGTGAGGTCCCCAAATCACTGATTATGTTTCAGTAAAGAATCCAGTAGGCTTTCTGTTTCCTCCTGTTCAGTGTTGACTTATCTGTCAGTGGGGCTCCTTGTTTCCAAGTTCTTTGGGGATATGATTCACTTGGTCCCCAGACACCACCTAAAAAAGCCATGTTTTTTTTTTTTTTTTTTTCAGAGAAAATATTCTTAACCATTATTTTGTGCAAGCCAAGTTAAGTTGATGAGATACAAGACATAGTTTTCTAGTCACAACACCCATTAGATTGTTAATCCATGTTGAAAGCAACTTGAGTGGCTAACTTCATATAACACAATGATCATACCGTCATTATTCTTAACTTTCTTTTAACAATATTGGTGAAACTGAGGCTTTTGTTCAAATATATTTTTATCAGTTGTTCTCACTCTAAAAGCCAACTCTCTTTTCTAGTTCCTGGGGTCTCTTCTATTTTCCATGAAAGGAGATTGATTTCTTGTTCCTCTACTAACTTATCAGACAAACAAATCTCTTACCAGTTTGGGGATGATAATGTTTACCCTGTGTATCTCATGTAGGCTTAATGATATCATCAGGATGTTCCTGCAGAATCTTGCTCACCTGAGCAGGCATTTTCTAAATTAAATCAGTAGTGTTATAGAGTTCTAAACGTTCAGAGAAAGAGAGAGAGAGAGAGAAAGAAACAGAGAACATACAATGTAGGTGTGCCTCTTGGCAAGCAAGCCTGATTTATAATTGCATGCATTTATACAAAAGAGTCAAGACATTTTTACTATTCAAGAGGATCTCCTCACCAATTCTCACTTGGCAAACCTATGTTATGATTTGATTTATAAAAATTATTTACCCCTAACTTGTCAGAAATATGCACACTGTATAAAGTGAAACGCTGAGTTGGAATTCATGCTGCTTCATTCTTGGGATGCTAGTGATGCAGAGGAAGAAAATTTCAGTAACTCAATCCTGCAAAATAGGATGCTAGATAAAGACTCCTTGACCTCTTAGATCCATGCAATTTTCCGCAATTTTATCAAAGTCAAGCAGGAAGTACAGATATAAAACAGGTGAGGTTTCCTTTCTCAGACCCTCATTCCTCTTTTGCCCCTTTTATTTCTACCCTTGACAGTGCACGTGCCTCAACCACTCAGGTTATTGCCTCCAGTAGTCTTTCAATTCCCTGTAAACATCAGGGCCCTGGAAAAATGGCTAAATTTGCCAAATGTAAGGCATACGCGTTAACCATGGTTTAATATATGATCCATCCTATATGTTATTTGCATTTTAACAGAAAAAAAGATCAAAGGAGTACATTTCTGGTTCTAGAATTTCAGACCATGGTAAAATGGTAGGTCAAATTTTGAGGGAGAGGTATTGGGGGTGGATGGAAGGATATGCTATTTCTGTCCTATTAAATCAGATGTTATCTCACATTAAGGGGCCTGAAATCTCTGCATTTGATTCTAACTATGCAATTGATATAAATAACAAAATGGTTACTGCCACTACTTCGAGATTAAAGCATGCATTAACCTGTGGGGTTATTTTATAGTAATTAAGTGACAAAATCTCTCTGACTTTGGTGTGTATATTGAAGGCTTTTGTAGTTGATTAGCAGAGGAGTGATGCTGAGGAGCTTAATCAACCACTCAAGTTGTTAGTTTCAACTTTATTCCATCACCATGTTTGCTTTGCTGTATTAGAGGAAGGCAGGAAGGAAAACTTCATCCATTGACATGTTGCACATGTGCTCTCAGTCTCGCTGAAGGTTGAAGAAGATTGCTCTTACATTTCTCAGTCCCAAGCTACGCCAAGCTATGCTGCACGCTGACCTTATGGTAAGGCCAAGGATCAGCTGGGGAGTGAGTGATACTGATGAGGAGGTCAAGGTCAGGATTTCCATTTGGGTACAGCCAGTTGGTTTTGTCCCTGCACAGAGTCTGTTTAATGCCTTCAGCCATGCTGGAATCATTGATCCCAGGGTAAAAAGGATGATGGAATGGCAATGTATCCATGTAAACCCTCCCAATGTTGGAAAACATATACAAAGGTATAATCTATTGATGGGATAGTAGTGGTATCACCTTTGTATATAAAGAATAGCACCTTCTCCCTCCCTCCCTCCCTCCCTCACTCATCAGATATTTATTATAGCTCATACTCTATTCTGGATACCGGGTTTCATGCTGAAGAAATGCTAAGATTCATAAGAAATGTTCCCTGACCTCAAGGATATTACAGTAAAGTGAGAAATAGACTGGCAAATATTTAGAGTACTTTGTCATGTATATTGTGTTAAGTGAATAGAGAAGGTGTAATTGATCATTTCAGAAGGGAATCATAGAAGGTTTCTGAAGGAATTGTCTTTTGAGTTGGGTCTTGAAAAATGGGTAGAAGTTAACCAGGTTAACTGGTTAAGGGGTGGATGATGGAGATGTTTCACTTACAAGAAATGACTCACTGCACAGAAACCCTGGACCAGTATACCAATGGCCTGTGGTTTTCCGTGGCTAGAGTGCAGGCTGATGGGTAAGTGGAGTGGTAGGAGATGAGACTGTAAAGGAGGTAGAGGCCAAAGGGGGCTCCTGGGACATGTGAGAATTTAAAAAATATACCTGTTGGGCAATAGGGATCCTTCGAATATTTTTTCTGGAAGAGAGTGTGGTTTGTGATCTAATTAAATTTTTAGAGCCGGCCGTGGTGGCTCACGCCTGTAATCCCAGCACTTTGAGAGGCTGAGGCGGGTAGATCACAGGGTCAGGAATTGGAGACCAGCCTGGCCAACATGGTGAAACCCCGTCTCTACTAAAAATACAAAAATTAGCTGGGCGTGGTAGCGGGCGCCTGTAATCCCAGCTACTCCGGAGGCTAAGGCAAGATAATCACTTAAGCCTGGGAGGTGGAGGTTGCAGTGAGCCAACATCACGCCACTGTGCTCCAGCCTGGGTGACAGAGCAAGACTCTGTCTTGGAAAAAAAAAATTTTTATTTTAGAAAGAGTTGGGTGAGTGGATTGGAGAAAGAATTTGTCATGTGACCAAAAAGGGAGGCTGATGTCAATGTCCAGGTGAGAGTAAGGGGACCCAAACTGAGATAATTGTAGTGAGTCTAGAAGGTAAAGGACAGCTTTAGGAGATACTTAGTATAATTGGCATGACCAATTGTATAGATGGCTGTAGACAGGGATGGGTGGGAGTTATGGCACAAAAAGTAGAAAAAACTTGTAAGACAGTGAACAGAAGATATTGAGGGTATTTTTCTCAGAGAGAAATGCATGTAAATAAAGGACTTGTATTAAGTGTTCTAGATTGTTTTCTCACCTCTGAACTCCTATGATATTTTGATAATTTGATTTGGAACCATGCCACTTACCATTGAACTATAATTTCTATTCTCCTGGATAGTGGGAATACAAAGATGAATAGACAGAATCCTTCATCTCCAGAAGCTCATAATCTATTGGGGGGGGGGATGGCAATGATAAGTAAATAAATAAGTGCAAATGAGTATGATGGGTTTTCACCCAGGTATGTGTGAAGGACAGGGATGGCAGTATGCATTTAGGACATTGCATTAAGGGTCTGGTGTAGAAGAGTGACATGATTAGATTTTGAGTTTTAGAAAGATTATGGAAGTGTCAAAGGTGGATTAAAGTGAGGCCAATCAAGAGCTGGAAGACCAATGAGGAGGCAGATGCTCAGTTGAAAAAGCAGCTACAAGCAACTTTGAGCTACAAGGCTGGCCCTGTGGCACTGTGGAAAGGAACTGTGCCTTCTGAGTTCTGGAGCTCTCGATAAGTTCTAGCATTGCCTCAGGGATCAATCTCATTATTTAACCTTGGTTTTGCCTTTGGTCATTTAGGGATCCTGAGGAGTTCTGTCTTCTTTTTTACTCCTACTGGTGATGACAGTGTGCATTGGTGATAAGGACTGGACATTGACCTTGTGATGAGAAAACAGAATGGGGAATGAAGGTAAGGGAAGGGTAAAAGACAAGATCTAGAGAGTGCTGTTACCATAGGAGTGAGATCTGGGTGTGTGCTGCTGGTAGGGGAAATTTGCATGAGGCTCCCAAATGCTTGAATGGTAGGAGAATGCAATAAAAGGAGGCAGGATGGCCCTGAATAGTAAGAGGAGAGGAACTTCCCTACATTTTGCCATAGTCCAACCCTTAGTGGTTCTTCAGGTAAGATTTTATATTATAGCTGTAGCAATAAAAATAACAATAAATTGGGCGCAGTGGCTCAATGCCTGTAATCCCAGCACTTTGGGAGGCTGAGGCGGGCAGATCACTTGAGGTCAGGGGTTTGAGATTGGCCTGGCCAACATGGCGAAACCCTGTCTCTACTAAAAATACCAAAATTGGCCGAGGGTAGTGGTGCACACCTGTAATGCCAGTTACTCAGGAGGCTGAGACATGAGAATTGCTTGAACCTGGGAGGCAGAGGTTGCAGTGAGCTGGGATCATGCTGCTGCACTCCAGCTTGGGCAACAGGGTGAGACTCTGTCTCAAAAATAAAATGAAGTTAAAAAAATACCCAAATAACAATAAATTACATAGTTCTAAGCATTTTACGTATATTATCTCATTTAATCATTTTAGCCACTCTGAGAAAACTGAAGAAGCACAGAGAGGTTAATCACATGCTGAAGGTAGAGCTAGAAAGTGACAGAGCTGGACTTTCAGCCTAGGTAGCCTCGCTCCTGGATCCATGTGCTTAATCACTGAGCTGTCTCCCAAACTCTTTTGTCAAGGGAAGACATGAGCCCATAAGTCCCTGGATGATGTCTGTTTCTTTATCTTAGCCATTCTAAAGTAAGTCACTCCAATGCTATGTTTGGTTTAAAATAGGGGATGAGAGGAAAGGATATTTTCCTTGTGTCTGTGAATTCCAGGTGACAGTGAATAGACAAGGAGGAAATCAACAGGAACTGAAGGATTCCAGGATGCCTATGATGCTGGCTGGACCTTTGAGGATGAGCTAACTGCATTTGAGGGAATACTGTCTTATTAGATCTAAAGGTGATGTTACTGACCTGTGTCTTTCCTCATTAGCCTGTCCCTGGAAATGCTGGACAGCTGAAGCCACGATGACAAAGGAGAAGATTAGAGGCAACTGAGACCTAACCAAGTCACGGACCTGGAAGATGAAAAGGTGAGTCTTGTTTGAAATTGCACCTCCTGGGCCCACTTCAATGCCCGAGCTTTCAGGCAGAATTGTGGTGCACACACTTTTCTTTATTTTTAAAGGTAAAACATTGATTGTTCTGGAGACAAGAAACTCACCTTAGCTGTGAACTAATGCCTCAGTCGAATGTAGGGTTCAGTGTCTCCATGGCTTTCTAACCCCTGGGCAATGTTTTATAGCAATTACCTGTACAACCAGTTGCTATAGTTACCTATTGTCTATGCTTCAAGAAGAGAAATATCTAGCTAAGCTAGTTAGCAGAAGAAATAGGTGCTGAAGTCTAACAAGAAAGAATGGGACATGCAGAAAAAAAATATTTTTACCCACATAGTGACAAGTTTAGAGCATCTAGCCTACTTACAGGCCAGTGATCATAGATCTGTATCTCCTTTTCCAAGTGAATCATCCCAATTCACAAAGATGAGCCCAAAGCAGCCATGTTTAAAATAGGTGGCCACAGTGCCACCTAGTTGTAACTGATTGGATCAGGGTGAACACCTAACCCAGGCTGGGGCAATCCGATTCTGTTGCCTGGAAATCAGGACTGAAGTCTTTCCAGTCTGTCTGGATAAATGGCAGGGCCTGTTCTATGCAAGCTCGAAAGAGTGGGGACCATTTTCTATCTTATGGAATGAGGAAAAAAAGAAAGCATACCTGTGGAGGGAGAATAAGCCTATTTGCAGAGGAAGCAGTGAGAGGAAATGTAGCTTAGGAGTTTTTTTTAGTTCCTGTCCCTTTCTGAAGCAGGGTTGCATTTCTGCCTTAGAGCATTTTCTTTCTTTCTTGTATTCATTATTATTATTACTCATTTTTCGTTCTTACTGGCATGAATTAGTTTCCATCACTTCTCACTAAAACTTACATGGTGCTCCAGTGTAAGTTATGCTCAAGGCACCTGTGATGGGTTGAATTGTGTCCTCTTATAATTATATGTTGAAGTCCTAACTCCTAGTGCCCCAGAATGTTACTGTATCTAAGGCCAGGGTCTTTAAAGGGGTAACTAAAGTGAGGTTATTAGGGTGGGCCTTAATCTACAATGACTGTTGAATTTATAAGAAGAGATTAGGACACAGGCATGCATGGAGGAAGACCTTGTGAACATACTCATCTACAAGCCAAGGACAGAGGCCTCGGAAGAAATCAACCCAGCCCACACCTTAATCTCAGACTTCTAGCCTCCAGCATTGTGAGAAAATAAGCTTCTGTTATTCAAGCTATCCAGTCTGTGGGACTTTGTTAGGTCAGCCCAAGCAAACGAATGCAACTGCTATGTACGACATGAGACTATAATTCCTCCTCCCTCTGCCCGCACCAAAGGAAACTTGATAATCAACTAACTGCTATTCTTTTCTTAATAGTGATCCATAAAAACAATAGCAGAAAGATTTTTTACTTTGGCTAAAAAGCCAATAACTGGCATTCAAGGCCCCTGATGGAGTATAGCTCTAAAGGAATACATCTTCTTAATGCTCTTGTTTGGCTTAAATTAAAAGTGTTCAGCTTCATGCCTTCGCAAGGAAAGGTGCCTGCTAAAGCTTTAATTTTACATGGGAAAATGATTGCTTTTTCACTAATTGGAATGAATGGGAACCCTTTCTTCAATTCATTTAAACTCAGGTGAAAACAAAGTGAGTCACTTTGCAGAAAGAAGTACAGGAACTTGCAGATTCCTCCCTACCACCCTTGAGTTCTGAGATCAGTGTACAAAAAGTCACTTCCATCAGTTATCCTCACATTAGAGAATTAGGCAGAGAAAAGCATCCAGGTTTCTCTCACTTTTAATCAGGACAAGGTATAGGAAAATGCTGTTGACATTTCAAAAAAAGTTGAGAGAAGTGAAGGTCAAGAGTGAATAGAAAAAGATGTTGATTTAACTGAACTACGGTGGCACTTAAGAGGTCGCTGAGCAGAGACAAGGTGCAAAGGAAATAGGAATAGCTTATAGACTGGTAACACAATATGTGCCAATAGAAGCAGCCACCGAAAGGATTCTGTCATTTGTGTGTGTGCCCCAAGGCAGTTTTGGTTTTTTTGAAAGGAGGAAAGGAGGATTTTATTTGGAACATGTGGTGTTCACATGTTCCTGCAAAGGAGAATAGACATGGCAAATAAGTTTCAACTCATGTGCAGCTCTGAATATGTGGATTATTATCTCCCTGGAGAATTGTGTTGGGATGCATTCTGAGGAAGGAGCATCAGTTAAGGAGAATTAATGAATTAATATGAATGTGAATGTTGTGCACGTGCATTGGTGGGACCAAAAGTCAATCACTGATGGCCCTGGGTCCAAGCGGGCTCTGTGAGAGGTTTTTAAAAATTTTTGGCCGGGCGCGGTGGCTCACGCCTGTAATCCCCAGTGCTTTGGGAGGCTGAGGCAGGCGGATCACAAGGTCAGGAGATTGAGACCATCCTGACTAACATGGTGAAACCCTGTCTCTACTAAAAATACAAAAAATTAGCTGGGCATGGTGGCGGGCACCTGTAGTCCCAGCTACTTGGGAGGCTGAGGCAGGAGAATGGCGTGAACCTGGGAGGTGGAGCTTGCAGTGAGCCGAGATCATGCCACTGCATTTCAGCCTGGGAGACAGCGAGACTCCGTCTAAAAAAAAAAAAAATTATTTCAATAGTTTTTGGGGAACAGGCGGTTTTTGGTTACATGGATCAGTTATTTAGTGATGATTTGAAATTTTGGTGCATCTGTCACCTGAGCAGTGTACATTGTACCCAATATATAGTTTTGTTTGGCCCAGCTGGTCTTTTAAAAAGATTTGAACTAAACATTTAAGAGTAGAGATATTTCATTTTTTTTTTTTTTGCCCCCTACCCCTACCCTTCCACATTTTCAGTTTCTTTTATAAACTCCAGCAATACTGGGTATTTCTGCATGACAATGGCAGGATGGAGCTAGGTAGTAGCTCAGTTTAAGCATGGCCCCTGTGGACACTGGGCTGTGTGATCCCAGGCCCTAGGCTAATTATACCTTCTGGGCTCAGGGTTCATGTGGCTGTGGATTGAGGATGTGGCTAGCAGATGGCCTCAAAAGTCAGGAAGTGCTGAAATTTTAAGACTATTCCGGCCTAAAAAGCAGAATAAAGGGTTGGCAAGTATGGCCAAAGCAGATGTCTTTTAGTAGTGTGAACAAGACCAAGACCACAGACCGTAGTGTTCCCAAAATACATGCTGACTGCAGTCTTTTCTGGAGGGGATGGGCAGTCCAAAGTTCTGTGAGGAGAAAGCTGTGACCTATACAGTCTAGATTCTGGAGAAGTCCTCTTTGCTCTATTTATGTTACTTCTGGGCATCATCTTTAATGGGTGCAAAAGTGACACATCCCATCAATCTACCATTTTTATTCTTCGATAAAAAAATGGAATTAGTAGTATAGATTAAGCCACTTCTTCGAACTCTAGATCCACATGTCCAACTGTCTATTTCCTATCCTTGCTGTTTTTGTCATATAATTCAAGCATTAAGTGTCCAAAATGAAACTCATTCTTCCCTTCCTTCCCCACGAGATCTGGTTCTTTCTGGTGTTTTTATCTCAAGGAATAGGACTTCCTCCATTCAGCTATAAAAACCAGGAAGCTCTTGCTCTTTATCTGCTATCCCCTCACCCTTTATCCAAACATGAATCCCAGTCAATTTTGCCCTAAGTACCTGTTGAATCTTCCCACTCCTCTCTGGCTTTCCTGCCATCAGTCCTCTGGCCTCCCTCCAAAAGTTTTTTCACATGGCAGTCATGGGCACCTTTATGAAACCCCAAACTGGTCATGTCTTTTTCCTGCCTCAACACGGTTCAATAGCTTTCTATTGCTCTCAAGATCCAAGCCCCACATTCTTTGCCCACACTTACATCCTCACAAAGGCTTGGCATTTGCCCTTTACACACCTTGCAAAGTTTGCCACCTTCCCTCGTATCTTAATAAATCCATTTTTATAGGAAAGCAAATCACTCCAGTTCCCAGCCCAAAGCATGATTAAATGAGATGTTTCTGTAAGAGAAAAAAAGAGACAAATTATTTTGCTTTTCTTTGGGTGATACTTGATTTTTAATTTATTCTTTCAGTACTTGCTGTGATTGCAGCAGTTAATTCCAATTTTTTTTTTCCTGCTGCTTAAATGTCAGCAGCCCATCTTTACTTAGAACTGATAGAAGTAATTGTTTCAGGTACTTGAACTGAATAGTGATTAAGTGGCCTAGGACCAATTTGAGGGTTAGCCTTCCAGTCCTTTCAGAAGCAAATTTTAGAAACATCTGGTTTGGGACTAAAGTTCTATAGATCATCTTGCCTTCAGAGGGCCAGCATCCTTTGAGTTTACTTTCTTTTTTTTTTTTTTTTTTTTTTGAGACTGCGTCTCGCTCTGTCGCCAGGCTGGAGTGCAGTGGCATGATCCCAGCTCACTGCAACCTCCGCCTCCTGGGTTCAAGCGGTTCTCTTGCCAGCCTTCTGAGTAGCTGGGACTACAAGTGCGCACCACCACACCTGGCTAATTTTTTGTATTTTTAGTAGAGACGGGGTTTCACCATATTGGCCAGGCTGGTCTTGGACTCCTGACCTTGAGATCCACCCGCCTCGGGCTCCCAAAGTCCTGGGATTACAGGCATGAGCCACCGTGCCCGGCCGAGTTTACTTTCTTGGTTGTTTTGGGAGGTCAAGTCTTAAACTCTGAGTGACCATTTTGTGCCAATTATTAATAAAAGAAGGAGATGATAGTCTATAGAGTTGTGCTGTCCAATAAGGTAGTCAGTAGCTATATATGGCTATTTAAATTTGTTAAAGTTAAATAAAATTAAAAACGTAGTTTCTCAGTTTGAGTAAGTATATTTCAAAAGCGCAATATGCACATGGCTAGTGGCTACCATATTGGACAGTAAAGATGTAGAATACCATCACAGAAAGTTCTGTTGGATGGCTTCCCTCAGCAGAGATCTTTGCTTGACATATAATATATCTATAGTAACACATATTCATTAAGTTAGTAATCAATCTCTTATTTTCCATAATAGTTGCTGTTATTTGTTTTTAGTAAAATCATAAGAAAGGTAAATCCATGTGGTTTGGAGGGAAGGAAATAGGCCAAATGATAAAACGTGGAAGGTAGTGGAATCTGAAGAGGGAGTCCCTTCTAAGGGTCCTTGGGGTATAGAGTGGAGTAGGCTGGGTTTGGGTGGTTTTGTCCTGTACCATGCTGGCTCCCATGTGGACACAGACAGGATTATCATGTGATTTATGTCTATAGAAAATCCCAATCTAGGGCCCTTTTCACTTTTCCATAGGATTGGGTCAATTATTAATGTGAAAAATGAGCCACCCTCACATGGGGAGTTGGACAACTACATGCAAGTGATGTGCACCTTCCAAAAAATTCCTGCCTTCTGCCACAACACTGCTGCCCATTATCTGAAGCATCTGCTACTTGTAAAGTGCCTGCATAGCTACACTCTCAGTTTGCTGCCACTTGATTTTCTCTTTGTTTGCTTTCTGAGGCTGTAGAAAAGTGGACAATTCTACTTTGGTACCTGGTGTAGGTAGGTGATTTGATTTTATTATAGTTCAGCTGAGTGATTGCCATTGTTCTCCTATATAATAATAATGATAATAATAACAACCAGTGTTTATTAAAGACTGACTCTGTTTCAGCCTTTGTGCTGAAGACTGCATGTTCTTGATCTCATTTAATACTTATAAAAATCTCTGAGGTGGTTTATATAGTGGTTAGGAGTACAGGTCCCCATCCTGGCCCTACCATTTGCTAGTTGTGCCTCTGTCTCCTCGTTAAAGGCAGTTCATGGTACTTTCTTTACTTTTTGTTAGGATTAAATGAATTACATGGAAACTACTTAGAATAGTATTCGCATGTAGGAAACTTTCAATAATTATTCTTACTATTGTTATTCCTTTTTTTTTTTTTTTTCGAGACTGAGTTTCACTCTTGTTGCACAGGCTGGAGTGCAATGGCATGATCTCGGCTCACCGCAACCTCTGCCTCCTAGGTTCAAGCGATTCTCCTGCCTCAGCCTCCCTAGTAGCTGGGATTACAGGCATGCATTACCACGCCCGGGTAATTTTTGTATTTTTTTAATAGAGACGGGGTTTCTCCATGTTTGTCAGGCTGGTCTCAAACTCTCAACCTCAGGTGATCCTCCTGCCTTGGCCTCCCAAAGTGCTGGGATTACAGGTGTGAGCCACTGCACCCAGCCTGTTATTCCTATTTTTACTAGTGTGAAAACGTGGGTTTAAGGAGGCTTAAGGAGGTTGAGTAATGTTTCCAAGGCCATATTTTCATACATGGAGGAGCTAGGGCAGGAACCCTCACCATTCTGATGCCAGTCAGATCCTTAACTCCAACCGACTCCTTCTAAGACATGACTATATCCAGCTATGTCGATGTGTTAACAAGTAAGATAATGTATATGGGAGTGGTTTAGAAATTATGTCAAGGTAGGATTATCATTGTCACCAATAAGAAGGACTATGTTAATTGAATTTTTCTCTGATTTATAACACCAGCAGTTTTTTTTTCCCCCAAAGAAGTAAATTTGCTTTCTCTAGTTCCTTAAAAAGGGAGGTTTTCATGCCTATGACTTTGATCAGAGCTGCTGGAGAGTTTCCAAATTAGACTAAAATAACATATGCAGGGATTAGTCCTGAGGAACAGAAACCTAACCTTCATGGAAGTGAAGGTGCCAATTAGCATTTCAGAATACTAAACATCCTAGGTACTGGTTGGCAATTATTCTCAACAAAGATTTATGGATGTTGATATGTCAGAAACTGAATTGGGTAACAGGTGTATAAAAATAATTTAGACATGGTTCCTACCTTAAGGGGCACAGAATTTGGTGGAGGAGGAGAATATATAAGCAATGTTTTCTAAGTTGTCTGGGGAATTTGTGTTCATAGAAGCAATGACATTTAATCTAGATCTTGATGGATGGTCTGAGAAAAGCAGAAAATTTCTAAATGGAAAGAGAAAGAACAAATCACAGGGACCTACTGAGTTAAGTTATTTCTTGATTAAATAAAGTTGTTTGAGAGGGTTAGAGCTTAGAACACACAGGGACAGGTTTAAAGATAAACTTGGGCAGTTGGAGAAAAACTTGGGCAGTTAGGCTGTGCTGAGAATCATACTAAGAAATTTGGACCCTATTCCAGACACTAGGGAGCTATGGAAGGTTTTAGACGAAAGGGTAACTGTTTAGAAAGATAACTTGGCACCTTTATGGAGGATTAATATGCAGGAGGGTTGAGTCTGGAGGCTGAACAGTTGATTGAATATTCCAGATAGTCCAAGTGAGGTCGGAATGTTGAGGGAGAGGATGGGTTCAAGAGACATTTTAGATAAAAAATTGGCAGTGCTTGGTGACTCAAAATAAAGAGGTAGGATAAAGGAAGAAGTTCAAATCCTGTTATTTAGTGCTTACAATGTGCCCGTGCTGTGCTAAGCACTAGAAATACAAAAATAATTAAGGAATGGCTCCTGTGTTTAAGTAGCTGGAAAGAAATAAAAGTATAATAAATACATACAATATAATATTATGCTTGCAAAGATAGATAATGTGTAAAGAATCAACACACAGGAGGCTGCCAAGAATGATTCTACATTTTCTAGCTCCAGGGACTGGTTGGTTGTTGGTGTCTTTGAATAAGATAGAGAGAGAGAGAGAAAAAAAAAAAAAGGAATAGGAGTAGGTTTCTGGAGGTTTCTAAAGCATTGGTTTTGGTGTACACAAGGCAGTTGGAACTTAAAGATATTCTTGCCGTAGCCAGACACAATCCAGCTCATTCTGGATTTGCAAGAGTTACAGACAAAGGAAAACAGTAATTATCTTTTTAAAAAAACCCTGCTGGCATAATGTTTTTCCTTTTAAATGGCTTTGTTATGAATATAAAGAGAGAGAAAGACTATTAAATGCCTCTTTACCTCCCACAGTCCTGGTTTGGGTTCTAAAAATTCTTCCTACACTAATTATGAGGGTTCTGCCTATTCACCCTGAAAACTTCTGGTTCAGTTATTATTATTATTTTTGTAGAATTAGCACTTAATTCTAAGCTTGTTTTTATTTTGCAGGCAAGAGATATCCTAAGATATTTAGAGGGTCTCATAATCGGCATTGCTTTCTAAAGTTCAGGTAACCTGTACCTTTTCAGCGACCTGTACTTTGTATGGATTAGACAGTAATTTATGGGTAAGTGAAGATTTTTGCAAACGATTTCATAGTCCGCAAAGATTAATAAAAGAGCCATGTACAAATATGTGAACTTAAACAACTATCTGGAAAGCAAGTTTAACAAAAGCCAAAAATGAGTACAGTATCAAAATCAGCTAAGAAATTATTCTGAACTCTGTAAAATTTTTCTTTTGTAAATAGAAAATTTCTTCTAGGGAGGTCAAGGAACTTGGATAATACTGCCCCACTTTCAGCGCTCATTTGGAGCCTCAAATATGTGAGTTCACTAGAGAATAATTATAACCCTGATGTTAGGAATCATGGATGACATATGATTATAGGTTTTCCATATAATAATGAGAGGGAAGCTTTATGCCTCACTGTGTTCAGAAGAAAAGAGATTATAACTTGGAAATGAGCATAAACAGATCTGGGCCATCACTTATATGAGCACAAAGAAGGCATCTGAGGCCAGCTGTATTAGGATGGAATGTTCTCAGCCTTTTGGTTTTCATGGACCCACTGGGAGGTGAGGTTTCGGTGGGGGAAAGTAACCTTTTATTCTGCCAACACAAAACCTCACCATCTACTATCACTGTGCTTTAGGAATGGACAGTTTACCACCCAAGTACAGGAAGGACATTGTGTGGCAGTGATTGCTGCACGTTCAACAGAAGCCACAGCCAGACTACAGTTCCCAGCCTCCCTCGTAGTGAGATGAGCCATCGGGATGTGGCACAAACGAGGTTCATCACTTGCCGTCCCAGCCTATAAAAACCTCCCACACAATTCTCCTCTCTTTAGCTTCCCATCTATAGGACAGACACTAAGCATCCTGCATAGGACCCAAGGGCCTAGTGGTGACCGAATCACAGGGAGCCCAAGTACCCAAACGACCCTTCCACCAAATGGGTGGAAGGCCACCTGTTGACCCAGAATATTCTTACTGGATTACAAGTGAGTAATGCAGAGTTGACTCACACCTCTGAGGAGGGGACATTGAACAGCAGTGCTGATATCTCTGGGAGCTCCATGATGCTTATTCTGGGATTAGGGAAAAAACTGGAAACTGGAACCAACTGCTTTTAGAACCAGGGACTGTCACCAGGTAAAGAAGTAGTGCCCAAGTGACATTTACAGGTATAGCAAAACAAAACAACCTCCCCCGGAACCATTAACAAGCAACAAACCAAAACTAAAAACCAGCCCAGGAAGCAGCATGTCCCTTATCTCTCCTCCATTCTTGCAGTCTCCTTCCAGAACCTGCTACTGGCAGAACCTTCAGGAAGAAGTTGGCAAAGTCGAATATGCTTTGCAGAATTCCAGACCCACTGTCACAAAACTGAATATAGAAAAATGGCTTTCCAGTAAAGAGGCAATAACTTAATTACCAGCATAAGAAGACATATACTTTCATTGTGTTAAACCACTAAGATATTTGGTATTCGTTACAGCAGCTAATAAAAACAGATATTTAAATGGGATACATTTAGTTTTATGAAAACTCACTATAGTTTCCTTGTTCTTTTTTCTTATTTCATTAAGGAATTGGTGAAAATTCACCTCCTGGCACTGTTCATGGGGAGGGGTGTGGAAACTATTGGTGTAGATAGCTCCACTCTCTTTTCCAAGTGTGTGTGTGTATTCTCAGATGTTCATAGAATCCTGTGTGTGGGTGAGTGTATAAAAGGAAGAAAAAAATGTGTTTGGGGGCAGGAGCCAGGGGAGATTGGAAGATGAAGCAGATGAGAGAAACTTTGGATTCAAGAGCTGCTTTGGGGCCCAGGTGACACGATGTGGCATATAGATGGGAAAGAGTTTATATTCTCTATACATATTTTTTCCCTGTTTTTTAGAAATAGGGTCTTGCCATGTTTCCCAGGCTAGAGTGCAGTGGTTCAGTCACAGCTCACTGCAACCTCCAACTCCTCGGCTCAAACAATCCTGCCTCAGCCTCCTGAGTAGCTGGGACTACGGGAGTGCCCCACCACACCTGGCTAATTTTGTATTTGTCTCACTATGTTTCCCAGGCTAGTCTCAAACTCCTGGGCTTAAGTGATCCTCTCACCTCAGTCTCCCAAAGTGTTGGGATTACAGGCATGAGCCACCATGCCCAGCCTCTATACTTCTTTTTCTTCTTTTTAAAAATTAATTTTGTTGCTCAAGGTATTCCAGAAACAGCCATTGTATTTGGCTCCATGCCCCTTTGACACAATGCCTCCATCATTGTGGGTCTTCTTCTTCTTCTTTTTTCTTTTTTAGTACTTTTTAAATTTCTGACATTCTAACATGTTCCAGGCTCACTTGTGTATTTTCTGCCCTGTTCCTAGCATTTCTACATTTCTTTATGGGCCTTGATAATTCTGGCCGCCCAAGAACTGAGGGCTTTGAATGCATTCCAAGAAGGCACGTGAGCTGGCCTTCCTGGCCTCAGCTCTTCCCCTTATCCCCCTTCTCTCACTGCTCTCACTGTACTGGTATCCTAGCTATTCCTGGACAGGCTTACTCCTACCCCAGGACCTTTGCACTTGCTACTCCCTCAGCCTAGGATGCTCTGTTCTCAGATTCCACTAGCTCATTGCTCACTTCCTTTGGGTCTCTGTTCAAATGTCACTTTATTAGCAAGGCCTTCTTTTGTCACTCTGCATCATCCCCCATCCCCTGCCTACCCACGCTCATTCTGGACTCGAATTACCATCTGAACACATGATATACAATATTTTTTTTCTTGATTATGATCTGTATCCCAATGATAGAAGATACGTTTTATGAGAATAGGTTTTTTTTTGTCTGTTTTGTTTACTTCTATATTCCTGGTACCTAGGAGAGCTCCTGGTCCACAATAGACACTTATTACATATTTGTTGAATTATTATAATATTGTTTTTGCTGATTCCTGACATAGACATGCCACTCATATCCTATGACCTTTCTTTATAACGTATCTCCTATTTTGTCAGTCCCGTGTTTAAAACTCTTCAGATGTTTTCTCTTTGCTGTCAAAATAAATTCCAGACTCCTTCATATGGCCTGCAAGGCCTTCTCAATCTGTCCCTGTCAAGACTCCAGCCACACCTCTTGTCACTCATCTCTTTCCACTCTACTCTCCTGCCACATTGAAATACTTGCAGTATCCAGTGGATGCATGGTCCCTTTTACTCTCTGGGTTTTGTGCATGGCCTCTCCTCCTTTGAAGATACTTTCCACCCCTTTTATCCTTTATGGTTCAACTTTAGACATCATCTCTTCTGGGAAGACATTTTGCCCTCAAGACAGGGTTAGTCCAATAGTACTAGATATTTACCTCCATCATAGCACCTACCATGGTATATTTTGATGGCCTAGTTTATTGCAATTTAGAACAAGTCTGCCTTAGTCTGCCCAGGCTGTCATAATAAAATACCCTAGACTGAGTGGCTTTAACAAGAGAAATTTATTTTCTCACAGTTCTGGAGGCTGGAAGTCTGAAATAAGGGGCCAGCATGGTCAGGTGCTGGTGAGGGCTCTCTTCCTGGCTTGTGACCTCATATGACCATTCCTCAGTATACATGTGTGGAGAAAGAAAGACTGCAAGCTCTTCTTCTTCTTACAAGGCCACCAATCCTATCAGATAAGGACCCTATCCTTATGACCCCACCCTTATGACCTCAACCTTATTTCCTTCCTAAAAGCCCTATTTCTCAACGCAGTCGCATTGCAGTTTAGGGCTTCAATATATGACATTCAGGGACAGAATTCAGTCCATAGCAGAAATCCTACTGTGAATTTTATTAGTTAAAACATTACACACCCATCAAACTAAGACTCACATAACTATTTCCAACAGAAGACGTGTAAGAATGAAATGGGAAAGAAAGAAGGACGAAGCTGAGCTATGAGAAACCCAGCAGGGAATGAGGACGTTGTGGCTGGCGTATCTGCTACTGAAATGCTGGAATCTTACAGGAACTTTCTACCAAGGTCACACTGAGTGAGGATAATGCTCCGTGTGTGAAGACTGTGTCCCTCTTTGGCATGTTTCAGACAGTGTCTGATGTTGGAAAGATGAATCTAGGAAAATGGTGTTGTAGGATGCCTTCAATTAAAAAACAAATGAACAAGACCAGGGTCAGTCAGCACTGGAGATCTGTAAGGAGGGGCAAGCTCCCTCTTGCAGAAACTGGAGCCAGGTGGGGTTCAGGACTGTGTAACAAACCTTGTACTAAGGATGTTTGGCAGAGTAACAGGGAATAATTTGGGGTTCTCATACTAAGTCCTTTGTTTCAGGGGTACTGGAATGGTAATGGGAAATCTGAGGAGCAGCTCAGTCAGGAAGGGCCCAGGGAATACTGCATGTCTGGGTGATGGGCACACCCCGAGAATTCAGCAGTGCAGAGCCTCCCATGGCTTCATAGGAGCCTTGCTAGGAGTGGATCACTGGATCCCAGGATTGGAAACTTTCTTAACCCCTGTGATTATTCCTCTAGTCCCACGAGCCTTTTTCCTCACAGTTATGCCCTCCTGGAGTTTCCAGAGTAACCTACAAAATACAAAGAAAAAGCCATTTCATTGTAACTGGTAACTTTATGTTATTATCAGGATGTCAAGGGCCTCCAGGGGAGAGAGGAGTATAAAGTTTTAAGCTTTGGACCCAGGTTTATAGAGATCACAGAAGTCTCTTCTCCCCAGGAGGAACCCTCTCCTCTATTAGGAGGGGAGACTTCTGATGTTAAAACTTATGACAGCCAAGGCAAGTAGTGCCTCCAGACTCCTACTGCCCCAGGCTTTTTACAGTCAAGACCTTCATCAGGCTTCTGAATATCCAAATTGCCTACCTTTTACATACCAGAGGGGAACAGGGAGGATTACCAGGATGTCTTAACAGAGTTATCTGTATGAACAGAAAGAATAGAGCATTTATTTGCAGATTTATAGAGCAATGAAATAATTCTGCTTTATAACTACCAAATCCCAGGCCATGGGAAGGATGTGGATAAGATTTCAGAATGGTTTCAAAATCACTTTATGATTTAAATGGTTCCTACTCTGTGGTTTCTACTTCTCTGATGTACTTTTCAGCCCTCACATCCAAGGTGCCGATACACCATGAACAACTTGCACTATTTTGCAGACAGTGGGATGACAGAGAGAGGAGTCCAAGGTGACATTTGGGCTCATATTCTTTAAGCTCAATTTTTTACCTGGAAAATGAGTATAATAAGATGCTGCTTTCTGTAGGGTTGTTAGTGAAACAATGCATGTAAACTGCTATGTAGTAAGCATCTAATAAACAGGAGTTGTTATTATCACATTCACATCTCCCATACTAGAGTATCCATGCCACAGGAGGACAAGAGATGACCTTATTCACCTCCAGATGATCACATAGTCTGTAGCACATAACAATTGGTTGGTGATTGCTCAATGAATAAGGAAATGGACTGAACTACTCTTTTCAATGCTATCAAAAGTTTTTAAATCCTAGTAATAATATAATTGTTTTAACTTGTATGTGCACCAGTCACCTGACATGCCAGTTAAAATGCAGAATCCTGGGTCCCATCCCTAGAGATTTTGATTCAGTAGGTCTGAAGTAGAGCTCAGCAATATGAATGCAAGAGAAGTTCCTCAGATATTTCTGATAGAGGAGGGTCTTGGTCTAAACTTTGAGAAATACTTTTAGGTTCACTGGTTTACAAGTTGAATTGTGCATGGGAAAAGTGATTTCTGTATATCAGTTGGGGTTCAGGGAGGACAAAAGAGCCACAGTAAGTATTGTGGGAATAAGGGATTGACCATAGAAATTTGAACTTACGCAACATGGTTGGGAAGAACTGGGGAAGGGAAAGTCTGGAAAGGACAGTAGGAGAGCCAAACAGTCACTAAACATGATTAATAGGAGACCTGGTACAGGTGGGTAGGTCACAGTGTGCAGGAAACCCCCATATCCTGTGTGTGTGTCTGACTGCTGGTGTGGAACTGCAAAGAAGGTTGACAGAGAAGTCTGGAGAGCCTGTGCCCCTGAAGTTTGCCTTGGGGCTGCTTTTGTTTAGTGGGGCCACTTTTGTTTGGTGGGGCCAGCGTTAGAAAGAAGAGATGGAAACTGGACCCCAGTAGCTGCATTCGTATCTGTCTGTCACCACGTCTGCCCACTGTGACTTTCTGAGAATAATGACTTCTTCATTTCTTCTGCAAGTTCCTCTTTTGGGTAACTCCAACTCAGATCCACATAGGACAGAAGCTTCTGGACCATGTAATTTCCAGCTTTCATCAAGTGGACATAGCACACTCTGACACATCTTAATGCACTAAAAATTACACGTTTGACACCCTCTCCATCCTGCTGCTTTTGGTCTCTGAGTGCTGGGTGTTCACTCTTCTTGAGTTTTTGTGTATTTCAAGAGCACTTTTGAGAGAATTCCAATGTTTTTATGAGTAAGAAGTTTGTAACTTTTTGCAAACCCAAGTTTATTTGGCATGTTGGGAAAACACGCACAGTGAGCTGCATCCTTGAGCCAGCCTGTCATCAGTAAATAAAAGACAATAGATATATATGTGACATGAGTGGAATAAGTTTAGAATCATATTATTAGGGAAATTGGCATTTTAGTATTCAGCCTATTACAAACAGAGAGATACAGGCATATCCTTAAGATGGGCATCCCTGGGCAGCTTCAAAGATGATCTTTGTGAATGAACAGCTCTGGAGATGGTGGGATCCTGTCTGCCAAGTAAAAGTGGAAGATGACTGTAGTAGGTTGACTAATGGCCTGTGTATTAATTCATTTTCATACTGTTATGAAGAAATACCAGAGACTGTATTTTATAAGTAAAAAGAGGTTTTAATGGACTCACAGTTCCACATGTCTGGGGAGGCCTCACAATCATGGTGGAAGGCAAAGTAGGAGCAAAGGCGCGTCTTACATGGTGGCAGACAAGACAGCATGTGCAGGGGAACTGCCCTTTATAAAACCATCAGATCTTATGAGTCTTATTCACTATCATGAGACTTATTCATTATTATGAGAATTATTGTCCATCATGAGAACAGCATGGGAAAGACCCACCGGGTCCCTCCCATGACACATGGGAATTGTGGGAACTATAGTTCAAGATGAGATTTGAGTGGGGACATAGCCAAACCATATCAGCCCCCTAAGTATCAGGTCCTAATCCTTGGAACCTATAAATGTTGCAAATGAAATGTGTTATAAAATTTTATAATTTTTAATAATTGTAAAATATGTTACAAATGGTAAAAGAGTCTTTGCAGATAGGATAAAGTTAAGGAGGCTGATGTGGGGATATTATTGTGGATTACTGGGTGGGCTAAATGCCAACATAAGTGTCATTATAAAAGAGACAGAAGATTAGGCACAGAGACAGAGGGAGGGAGGAGGTGACCACAGAGGCAGAGGTTGGAATGATTTGCTGGGGCCAGCCTCTATAAGGGGCATTGCCTTGCTGACACCCTGATTTCAGCCCAGTGGTACTGATTTTGTACTTCCAGCCTCCAGAACTGTGTGAGAGTAAATTTCTGTTGTTTTAAGCCACGAAGTATTTGGTAATTTGTTACAGCAGCCACCGAAAACTAATGTAATATACTTTTTATTTATTTATTTATTTATTTATTTATTTATTTATTTGGTCATCTGCTTCCCCACCTCCCCTTTG